>NC_000023.11:148718030-149021060 GCF_000001405.40 Homo sapiens | reverse complement strand
TCTGACTAAAACTTTATAGTTCTTAAAGACTTCCAATTTAATTTAGGATTCCTAATGATCTTCATTGTTGTTTTTTCTATTATAAGGCTGTAGTCTATAAATCTGGAAGCTGTTCAGCATGCACTAAAAATGTCAATATGTTTCAAATAAGTACTGTTGCATCTCATAAAAATCTATTCCTCATGAAAATCCCCCATTAAATCAATATCATCAATTATTAGTGTTCTATATGCTATATTTCAAAGTAAAATGAAGACTATGAAGGGCCATGAAATCATGTAGTCAATCAAAGCTCTGCCTAATAAATTCAGGGAGCACAAATCAACCTCATTACCTTTCTATACTTTTTTTTTTTTTTTTTTGAGATGGAGTTTCGCTCTTGTTGCCCAGGCTAGAGTGCAATGGCACGATCTCGGCTCACCGCAACCTCCGCCTCCTGGGTTCAAGCGATTCTCCTGCCTCAGCTTCCTGAGTAGGTGGGATCACAGGCGTGCGCCACCATGCCCGGCTAATTTTGTATTTTTAGTAGAGACAGGATTTCTCCATATGGGTCAGGCTGGTCTCGAACTCCCAACCTCCAGTGATCCACCCACCTGGGCCTCCCAAAGTGCTGGAATTACAGGCATGAGCCCCAGCACACAGCCCCTTTCTATAGTTTTTTAGCTCCAGGGTTAACCACCATTGTCCTAGATCCCTTACGTCTACAAGGGCTCCTGGACATTGGAGAATTTTTGTGGAAAGCTCAGACACAGTTGTCTGAACCTGCAAGTGTCAGTTTTGCAGAGTGCAGCTAGAAATGCAAAACACAAAAAAGACAGACCCATCCCTTTTGCTAATCCTTGTCCCCTGAGCTGTGACCTCTAGGCATTTTGTATCTTCACCTGCTACAGTCCCATTGAATCCCAAGCTATGTCAGATTTAATGAGGTTGCTGGTAATCAGAAGGCTAGAAGACACATTTGGAGAGCTTTAAGACTGTATCATGCCCACTCTTAATGTAAGCCCCGTGTAAACTTGAACTTTACATTTTGAATAACACTTGGTTCTCTAACAAATAAACCTCCCAAATGTCAGTAGCTTAACACAATAGAAGTTTATTTCTCATTCAGGTGGCAATGCATTATGGAAATTGCTGGTTGGCAGCCTTTCCTCCACGTATGATCTAGGGACATTGGGTCCTTCCATCTTGTGGAAGTGCCACAACTAGGGCCTCAGAGAACTCTGCTACCAGCTGGCAGAAATGGAAATGAAAGGTGGACAAATCATTTCTGTTTTTTTTATTAGTTTGGCCTGGAAGGACTACACATTAATTCCACTCACATTCCATTGTGAGAACTAGTCTTATAACTCTACTTAGATTCAAGGAGAGCTCGGAAATACAGTCTCTAGCTGCAATACCACCCTCAGACCTGAGCAAACATATCCTCTCATCCAGTCCCTATTCCTCAGGGGTCCCCTGCTTTGGAATGCTTTCCAGAATTTTCTGAGACCCCATCTGGTACCTGTGACTAGACAGGGCCAGTAGTATCATCCAGGCAGGGTGTTGCCAGTCTGGACTGGGTCCTTTATAGGTCCTGATCACCGGAAAATCCTTCCTTGAAAGTTTCTAAGTCCCCTTCCAGTGAGAGGGACCAGACAGACTGGCAGTGCCAGTTGAACAAGGCGTCCTGAGCCCAAACAGGGACCGATGTAAGTTCCAGTCTCCATTTCTTCTCTCTGTGTACTCTCCACCGATTTCCCTGTGGTGCCCTCACAGGGCACAGGTGATCATGGGGTCATCTAGATCCCCTTTGGAGCTCCTGGACTCATATCTACAAGTTGTTCCAGTGTCTTGTATGGCATTTCTTTCAGGAAATTGTGCAAGACTGGGCTGCTAGAATAATGCTGACATGCTGACTTGACTGACATAGGATAGGCTCAGAGCCCCAGGATCCTGTTAGTATACCATCACCAGTTGGGCTTGAGTTGCATGTGTGGGCCCATGCATGAGTCTTTGCCCATCTGTGTGCCCACCTCTAGTCTATAGCACCAGAGGTGGAGGTTGTGGCAGGAGTTTTTTACCTGATATGACCCCTTCCACTGACACCCAGGTCACCACTCTATGGGCTCTCTGGCACTTGTCAAGCAGTCATATAGAGTTAACTATTTCTATCTCTGTGAGCTTCTGATATTGTTGTCTCACTTTTTCAATGGGCCTTTCTGATAAATTTCCTATTTTGCTTTCAATCATGTGATGATGTCATGATCATTCCTTACATGAATGTGATCACTTTTCATGCTCTGCCAATGGGCCCCCTGCCCCCGCCACTCATCCTCCCTGCTTGTGGTGGCATGTGTAGAATGCAGGGGTGCAGTCAACATGGAAAGACATCCCATCCTAGGAATGCGATGATTATGGCCTCCAGGGTTCAAGAGAGGCTATGGTTGGAAGATGTGTCATTCTACATGTGTGCTATAAAGTGCCAAATGGTATATTGAACATGACCATAAAGTGATATATTGTTCACATTTTCCTGCACACTCTGGAGAAGGTATGCCTTTGTGCTCATCATCAACGAAGCACAGTAACAACGTCTGAGAGTCCACAGGGAGCTGATATTCACAGGCAGCCTGGTGGATAATGGCAGTGTCATGGGTCTTGGTGTAGCCTGCATGAACTTAAGGGTATCAGGGGCCTGTAGAGGCAAGAAGATCTAGACTGTTTCAGTACAAGTAGGTGCTCAAGAGCCATGGCACACTGAGCAACAACAGCGATGCTCTCTTTTCTTCTCAGTGGGAGATATCACCTTAGTCATGTGTGGTGCATTAGACAATTAGGAACATAAAGACATGCTTGCTGAGCCCAGACAAGATGATGTGGAACCTGAACCCTATAGGGAAACTTCACAAGCACTAACGGCACAGTAAACAGACAACTAAGTACCTCCTCTCCCCCTGTAATGCTCAATCTTCATCAACAAATCACTATACCTCATGTGGGCCCATGAATTTCACAATACATGTTTTCATTAAATTGTTCATATAGAGAAGAACCCACAAAAATATTTGCCTAGGACCCTGCACATCCCAGGGGCAGCCCCGCCTTTATGGACAGCCCCTTCTCCAGCACTATTCTAAACTGTAGAATGGGGAGAAAAAAATCTTGCCTGTGCTCCTAGCTAAGGTCAACTCTTCCATGGCAAGTGGAGTCAGGGCCTGAGAAAGACAGTGTCTTCATAGGGGGTTGGCCTCGTATGGAGACTCACGGGTGAGTAGGGTGAGGTTGATGTTGACAAAGAATAGCATTTCAGCCTGTGGAAACCAGAACCAAAGCAGGTAAGGTGGATGTCTGTAAAGAGGAGTAGCCTGTTGTGGTAAAATGTGATCTTTGGATTATACAGTTCTCAGCATTAATTAATTAATTAATTAATTAATTAATTCAATCGAGCTCCTACTGTTGGCCAGGCAATGTCCTAGGCCACAGTGAACACGACAGAAGGGTTTCCCACAGTCATGATTGCTGGACTAATTCACACACAACTCAGAACAGGAGAAAACTTCCCTGAGGGTTGCTGTCTCTCTTGCACATAGCTCCTGCTTCTTCTGTGATCCATGTGAGCTACCTTTTAAATGTGAGATTTGTTTTCAAATGTGGCTTTCATGTCTAAGGCTTTCTGTGGAGTGGCTCAGAAGACCAATTTTATGTGCCTCATTGTGATTCACTCCAATCTGCCCTTTAGGTGCAGCCTTCTCTCCCTGAGGGCCCTCCTGGTTCCATCTCCTCTGTCAATAGACCCCATTAGGGCAGCATCATCAGTATCTTAAAATGGAAAATGAAATAGCCTTTGCAAGAAAAGGAGTGGAATTTTCATTTTTCTCACTAAGCTCCCTTTGAGTTAGCAATTTTAGGGCTTCTGCAAACACTCCCTGCAGAGAAGGCTCTGTAAATGTAGCTTTTGCTCATCTCTGAAAGCACTACTCTTCCATGAGCGGTATAGTCCATTCTTACATATACAGAAATCAGAAAAGTGGAGAAATAAAGAGCATAGTAGCCACCTCCTGGTGAACCTTTCACAGTACCCTATATTCAGCTTCACTCTCAAGCAATTCATTCGTTCATTCATTCATTTTTTCATTCAACAAATATTAAAGGAGGGCCTGCCACATATCAGACCCTGTGCCTGATGACATGAATACAACAATGAGCAGAACCCCATCCTCACAAAGTTTGCAAACTGGATGGGGTTTATGCATAGAGGCAGACTCAATGGCACAGGTCCCAGAGTCTGGTGAACATAGGCACCCATTTTAAAGGGAGTGGCATGAAAATTAAACAGAACAATGATTCTTGAAGTGTGATCCATAGACTCATGGGCACCCAGAGACTCTTTTGGAGATTCTGTGAAGTAAAAACTATTTTCATTATTTGCTTTTTTCTCTGGCTTGACATCTGCACAGATGGTGCAAAAGCAGTAGTGAGTAAAACTACTGGCACCTGGGTACAAATCAAACCAGTAATGCCAAACTGTACTAGTAGTTTTTGACTTCTTCACTGCCACACTTGCAGTTAAAAAAACAGTTTCACTTAAGAATGTCCTTGAAGAAGTAGAAAAAGTTATTAATTTTATGAAAGCTCAAGCCTTGAGTACAGGTCTTTTTAATATTCTGTGTGACAAAATGGGAACTACATATAAAGCATTTGTTATACACTATAGTACAATTGTTGACTCAAAGAAAACCACTTGTGCAATTGAGTTGTGAGATGAACTGGCTGAATTTTTTTCCATAGAACCCCATTTTGACTTGAAATTACGTGGGACAATCTATGGTGACTTAGACTTAAGTATTTAGTAAACATCTTCTCAAAAGTGAACACAGAGACCCTGCCACTTCAAAAATAAAAAACAAATTAATTTCTTTCCAATGACAAAATTTGAGCTTTGGAGCAAAAATTAGAATTTTGGGAAACGTAGATTCACCACTGTGAGCTTGACAGCTTCCCAAAAGCCAAAGACATTTTCCATCAGATCAGTGGTGATACTAACAAATGTGGCTTTGGGGTATTACATAATGAAAGGTATCATCATTTAAAAGATAGACGCAACCCAGGGTACCAATGCTTTCCAAATGAACAGTGCACAGTGTTACAAAAGCATGACTGCTTAAAAATCCATTCAAAGTGATAGATCAATGGATTTTAACATAGCAGAGTACAATCATTCATTGATATGGTTTTAGATCTTTATTGTTACTAAACTTTTTAAAAAGCCCCTTTTGTTGAGATTTTTCATGTTGCATCAGTGAAGAATATTCAAAATTATCTGGTCTATTAAAATAATTTTATTTTTTCTAAATGCGTATCTATGTGCATTTTCTTCATATACTTCAAACAGAGCAACATACTGCAAACAGATTCAATGCAGAAGTGGAAGAATCCATCTATCTTTCATTAAGGCAGAGATTAGACATTTGAAATACTGAAAAACAATGCATCTCTTCTAACTAAATAATTTTTGTTTTGAAAAAATATAGTTGCTTTTCATAAACACGTGCTGTTTATGACACCATGTACTGGATTGATTTTTTATTTTATAGTTACTTAACAAATTAATATTTTTAATATCTTAGTCTTAACTTCTAATACGGTAGATAGTGATAGACATAATCCACGTAAATGCAAGTTGTTTAGGGTCCTCAATAGTTATTAAGAATATAAAGCTTGACATCTGCTGACGTAGAGAAAGGGGCATGTGGCTATGTACTCATCACCACCCACAGGTCTCTCAGCACAGGTTTTGTGGGGGCCTCTTGTCTCCCCTTGAGGAGGGGAGCCTGTCACATTCATTTTTGTATTCTTAATGACCAGCAAAAGTGCTCGTCACATAGTGAGTGTCCAGTGACTGTTGAGCTCATGATCATATGAGTAAATGAGACATTGGATAGCTTCACAGAAGATGGGGGCTGGGACGTAGGCAGAGCAGCTCAAATCAATATGAAGCCAGACCCAGGTGGAGATAATGAGATGATCTCTGAAGACCCAGTTTAGTTTCTTCCAATGTTCTACTTTGCTGTTGAATCAGCAGTCGGGGCTTATGCTACTGGCTTCTCTCATCGTGATCCAGTGGGCCATGCTAAGACACAGGTACCCTGGGGAAGGACTACTATAGGTAGAAGAAACCTCAAGTGATGTGTTTTGCTTGGCTCCATAGCAATGACCTGATTCAATGGGAAATGTGCTTTATCCTGGCTGCTGCCAGCACACCAACCAGGCTCATGAAGGTGATAGCAAATCAGCAGAGTGTTCACGGACACATGCCTGTGAGTTGAACCCATTCAGCAACAGAAACAGCTTTAGATTCTACCCACTGAAGTTTATTTAAACACTTCTGGCCTGAATTTACATGTGTCATGCTTACATTTTAATGGTCACTGTAGTGCACACCAGGCCAAATTCATTGGTAAATTCCCTGCATAGACAAGCCAAGAAAACTGGCCATTCCTTCTATACAGGTGCAGATAGACCACTACATTGGAAAGGTCCTTAGTGGTTCTGTCAGGCTGGAAGCCTCGAACCCCTGACAATGGGAATTTTCTAATTAGAGAGACATGAATGTCCCAGTGGACTTTAAAATGTTAATGCGGAGCCATAAAGGCTTTGGTGCATTTGAACTTCCGGCTGGTGATCAATTGAGAAATATACCCCCAGCTTTCTATACAAGAGAGCACTGCCAGATCTGCTCCATTCCTGTACATTCTTCCAAATGACTGTTTCCAAATTAGCACCAATGTGTGCTTTTTAATATACTCCCTACCATGAACTTCCTGCTTTATAATCTTAACGTCTTCCATATGAGGGAGACCTTCATTTTTCCACCCATTACCTTGGACTAACTGGGTCCTAACAAGCTCATAGAAATCTTCACAAGGGATCAACTTTCAGCCTTGCCCTTCTATGGTCCCCAAACCACTCTCTTGGCAAGAACTAGCCCTTTATTGGCCATTGTCTTCTTTGCCTGGGGAAGGACCTTGATTGCTTTCACATGCCCCCTTGTAGTAACTTGGGAACAAGTGGAAAGAATCAGAGACTCAGAAGTGCTGGTTTGAGCTGAGCCTTCACTCTCAGGATTTGTAGAGGGGAGGGGGCAGAGAAACTCTGAGCTTCCCATTCTTCTTATAGGGCTTCCTCTTAGGGATATCTGGGGCACTGGGGGCCAGAGGCCTTAAGACATCCTTCTGTGTCCAAATGGGGCATGACAGCCTCTTGGCCTGGGAAGTCTTGTGGTGAGGCTTCAGTTTTCTCCTTTGAAAAGTAATAACAATGGTGTGGCTGTGGGAAGGGAAGAGTTAAATAAGCAAAGAGTAAGGTAGAACAATTCAAGTTACGATTTTCAGAGCATCAACTCCAGGCAAGACCTTGTGCTAATTGCTAAAGAGATAAGGGATACAAAAACAAGTCTGATTTTGCCAGACAAAGAAGGGGGGAATCTGCACTTCAAGTAAAGAGGGCCGTGTGGGTAAAGAAATTCACTAGGTATTTTTGGGGAAATGGAAAGTAGCCGGGTGCTGCTGGAGTGGAGAGGCGTATGAGTATGTTGGAGGGGTGGAAGAAGGGGTCAGTGCTGACAAGAGCTAAGATATAGTGAAAAACTCAGCTGGAGCAAGAAGTTTTTTGAGTTAGGCAATTATCCTCTAGGTAGAATTTCCTGCACATTTTCCTGGAACACTAGAACATTTCATTCTCAGATGTGTGTGCCAATGTCCACTGCATGCCCTTCTGTCACAATGGATGAACTGTCTGTACTCCTGTGGAGAGCCAACCCTGCGCGTTTTCATTTGAATCCCTCCCAGTCATCCTCTTGTCACAGTTGAGCAGCACTTATTACCTGGTGTTCTAGAGTTTATTTTGTGTATTGCCTTTCTTCCTCACTAGACTGTAAGCTCTGTAAGAGCATAGAATTAGTCCTTTTGTTTTCAATGATATATTCTCAACACCTAGACAATTTATAACATAAAGCCCTCAAAAAATAGTTGCTGAGTGAATGTTAACTGTTGTTCAACAAAAGTCATTGTCAAATATATTTGGTAACTTGAGGGTTAACCATAGTTCAAGAGCTTTCCTTTTCCAGGAGACTTTTAAGACTCTTTAATATGCTACTGAACAAATGAGAGATAATGGTGGCTTGAACCAGCGTGGAGGCAGTGGAGGTGAAGGAAAGAGATGGCTTATGAATTTGTTTTTGAAGTTGAGTTGACAGGACTTCTTGATGGATTGGATATAAGTGATTATGGAAAGGAGAAAATCAAGGAGAACTCTGTGTGTTTGTGTGTGTGTGTGTGTGTGTGCGCACATACAGGTACGCATGCACATACGCATGCACATGCTTCATTTGTGCACCTGAGTTGATCGCTGGCCCATTCAATGAAGCTGTAGAGGAATTGGTAATTGGTTGGAAGAGGACAGCTGGAGAGCAAGGCAGGCGCCAGGACATTCAGGTCTTGTCACATCGCACCAAGGCTTCTGGACTTTATCCTGGGAGTGATGGGGAGTCTCTTAAGGATTATAAATGGAGAATTGGCATCATCAGATTTGCATGTTAAAAAGGTGCCTCTGGCTACAGTTAGAGTATATTAGAGAGGGCAAGAGTGGAAGCAGAAAGAACAGATATGAGGCTGTTGCTGCAATGCAAATATGGAACACCCCAAACCTTAGTTTGCTGGGCAGGGGCCAGTCAGGACACTTGAGCCAGGTTTGGTATGATCCCCTCAATGCTCACATAGCCTCTCATTCTTCACACTCCCTCCTGTGTAGGACCCTAGTTAGAATGGCCTCTTTCCACATCTGGGTGGGTTATGTGGATATGCACGCACACAGACCCAGTGCCTAGCAACCAGTCCTGGCACTGACCCTCAGAAACATTGCCACAGACACCCCCACATCAGATTAGTTTCCACCCAGCCATTGGCTACAGCAGGGAAACATGTCTGCACGGTCAGCTGTGCTCACCACTTCATTTTAGTTCGTATTTCCATCGCTTCCTCTTTAGTCAAAGTCTAATTTCACTTTGTTGTAGTTCTGCAAATCACAAGCTATGAACTATGCAAAGCCTACTCCATTGGAAGAGAATATGTAGCCATGAAACAGTGGATCATGTGAGTCTGGGCCATTGGCACATGTGCATATTGAATTCATGAAGTCTAATGGTTCATGGGGAGAATGGTTCAGTTGTATTAATGGCCAGGTGGTGGGAGTAAGACTGGCTAGATATGCACATGTCCGTAGAATCACAGCCAGTCAGAGGTAGGTGAGCACGTAGTGAGCATCTACTCCAACCCCCTTTATCTATAAACAGAAACTGAAGTAAAGAGAGGGATGTCTCCCAAGCTAATGTGCACTTGGACTATACTGCAGTGAGTAATGTGATCAGGGCAGTATAGGTAGTAGAAAAACGAGATTATTTGCCCTGAACATCAGAAGATCTGCTTTTAGGAGCTGTACTCCTAAATCTCTGGGCTTCAGTTTCACCATCTGAGCATTGAGGAGGCTGGGGCTCAATTTAAATATAACATATATTAATAGCTCTTGGCTCCTTTTTCAGATTCATCTGAAAAGCCTGAAGCTCCCCTTCCCATCCCAGGTTGTCATCCTTCTCCACTATGGGCAAGGATGAAATTTCAAGGGCAACAATTTCAGACTGGTTCCTGCATGGTCCTGCATCACACAAAGAACATCTGAGAAAATCAGCCAGACCCTGGTCACTGGAATTCAATAAAGTGGGAAAAAAAATCCCTATCTGCTCCAAAAGTTTACACCTGAGCAAAAATAAAATTTTACCCAAACAGCAGACCTGCTAGGCTGCAAGTTTAATAAGCTATTAAATGGCACCATCTGAAACCTGCAATCAAAGCAAAAACACTGTAAAATAAATCAAGAGAGATAAGAAAAGATTTCACATTGTTAAAAGTTTATGCTATTTCTGACTTCCCGAAATGTTACCATTAACCTGGGAGTTAATCAGAGTTTTTCATTTACCCGTTGTTCGAAGCCATATGAGCACTTTAACAGGGTAAATAAAAAGATCTAAAGAAGCAATAAACGCAATGTCACAAGTGGCAATCATCTACCTTGTGAGGCTCATGCCATACAAAGTGTCGCACAGCTGGAAACAAATGATTCCACAGAACACTGTAAATAACCTCCAAGCCCATTCCTAATTAAACTGAAGCCCCACTTTCTCATGGGCATTGAATATATGAACCAATTAAGGAAATATCATTTCTTTCCTGAAAGGGCTGTGCTCTCTTGTTCATTCACTCTCTCTCTCTCTCTCCCTTCCCTGTCCCTCCCTCTTTCCCTCTCTCTCTCTGTCTCTTTGTGTGTCTCATTCTCTCCTCTATAGAATTTCCACCAAAGAGCTGGTCCCCAATGTTCCTGAGCTGCAATAATGAGACATCCCAGCTTTAAGCAAATTTTGCACCTGTAACCTGCAGAAATATAGCCGTAGCATTTGAAAAATTACCTCTATGCTGCACAGTGCCATGAAAATTTATCTTTGAGATGATTTTATTGCATGGTTACCCTAGGCAATTAAATCAATAAATCTTAACTGTCAGGAAGGTTGGCCCTGTGCCAGAAATAAATGAAATGCACAAAATCAGTAAATAAAAGGTTCCTGACAACTCATTCCAGAAATTATTTAGCAGTTGGGGTTGTGGGGGGTTTTGTGTTTCACTCCCCAGCCTTTATTGACATTCTTTCTGCGAAATGATTATGCTAACAAACACAATGTCTCCACTACAAAGAAGTCATAGTTTGCCAAGCCATAAATTACAGTCCCTGAAAATCAGTAAGGAAATATAGCTACGTGGCCAGAAGTGGTAGGCCAGGACCAGTTGGGGCTGGAGGCAGGTCTGGAGCAGCTCCCTTGGCCCTGCCTCCTCTCCTTGACTACTCAATCCCCATTCCACTGGCCTTTGGCCTAATTGGAGGCGACCTCCCCTCACAGGGCCCAACCTGCTTGACTTGCCTTCTCATACCCTACCACCTGTATTCTGCTAAGGGGTCTAGGGAAGGTTAATCTTATGGGTATAGTGTGTCTACCACTCCCCATTTCCAGAAACAATCCCAATGCCATATGTGAATGTAGAGGAGTAAAGTATGGGTAGAATTGGTAGGTTAATAGTAGTAGTTACTGAGTATTTCTCCTGTGCTATATATACCCTTTATATGGGGTTAAAATTGGGAGGCACTTTATTGTCTCCATTTTACAGGTGAGAAAATGAAACTCAGAAAGGTTAAATGATGAGTTGACCAGAAAGCGGCAGAATGACTATTCCAGCCAAGGCCAGCCTTCTCATGACTCCATCATGTGACACCTGTGCTGTCTTTGGTGCATATGTCATGGACTCAGAGGGCAGAAAACTGAAGCCAGTATTTGGGCAAGTCTGTTCTTGCATTAGTTCCCAGGCCTTCTTCTCATCAGAATTCTTCCTCCCTTAGTGATGGGTATCCTCCATTGAGGGTCCTTTGGGTATGCCCTCACAGAGCTGACAATGGCTAATGGCACTCATGCATGGGCTGTAAGGGTGACAGCATGTTGGAAGGCCATCTAAGAGTCTGTGTGGGGGCCTGCAGCAGGTCCTAGCATAGGGCCTTTGTACCAAGTACACCCTCGGCCTGAACTGCTCTTCCCTCTCTTCCTTGTCTACTTGAGGCTTACGTAGTTTTCAGGTTTCAGATCAAGTGACACCTCCTCAGTGAAGCCTTCCTTGACTTGCCACCCACCTCCCATTATGCGCTAGGCTTTTACAGTAGCAGGCAATTTTTCTTCACAGTATTCATCTTAGTTGCAATTTTCCATTTATTTGTGTAAATACCTGCTGGATGGCTCTCTCTCCCTTTGGACCATATGATCCATGAGGGTAGGGGAGTATCTGGTTTTGCTTCCCCATGAGGTCCCAGAACCTCATACTGTCCACATAATGACTACTTATCAAATAAAGGAATGACTGCTATATTAATTTTCTAGGACTGCCATAACAAAGTACCATAGACTTGGTTGCTTAAACAATATAAAGTAAGGCCGGGTGTGGTGGTTCAATGCCTGTAATCCCAGCACTTTGAGAGGCCGAGGTGGGTGGATCACCTGAGGTCAGGAGTTCAAGACCAGCCTGGCCAACATGGTGAAACCCTGTCTCTACTAAAAATACAAAAAATTAGCCAGGCATGGTGGCAGGTGCCTGTAATCCCAGCTACTCAGGAGGCTAAGGCAGGAGAATCACTTGAACCCGGGAGGCAGAGGTTGCAGTGAGCTGAGATCGTGCCATTGTACTCCAGCCTGGAAGACAGAGCAAGACTCCATCTCAAATATACATATATATGTGTGTGTGTGTGTGTGTGTATGTGTGTGTCACAGATTTAGAGGCTGGAAGTCTAAAATCAAAGCATCAGCGGGTTGGTTCCTTCTGAGAGCTGTAAAGGAAGGATGTGTTCTGGGCCTCTCTCCTTGGCTTATAGATGGCCATCTTCACATTTACATGGCCTTCTTCCTCTATGTGAATCTGTCTCCAAATATCCCCTTTGTCTAAGAACACCAGCCATGTTGGATTAGCACTGAAATTAACGAGTGTATTTTAACTTGATTACTTCTGAAAGACTCTCCAAATAAGGTCACATTCTGAAGTACTATGAGTTAGGACTCTGACGTGAATTCAACCCATAACTAGGCACAACTGACCCAAGGGCAGAAATTCTTCAGACTTTTCCATGGCAAGCAGTTAGAACTTTTCTCCAGCTCAGAGCTAAGGAGAATGGCAGATCTATTCCCAGCTGGCTTCTACAACTCTGCACATTCAAATCTTGTCAGCCTGTCCCTGGGAGGATTACAGCTGAGCTGCACAGCTCTGACACCACTGGCTACATGGAAGTCTCCTGGAGCTAGTGGAGGGCTGGACGACCTCAAGAGTGTGGAGCAGCTGGGGTCCAGCCCTTTGTCAGTACAGCGAGTGAGAGGTACTGCACCAGCTAGGGATGAGCACAAACGAAAGGCCTCAGACTTGGGTATTTCTAGGTCAAGGCCTGCTTTCCTCTCCCTTCCCACCCACTCAATCCTGTCTCTACCCATCGGCTCCTACAGCAGGACAGAGAGGCAGAGGCTGGGGTAAACCTTGGGAAGTGCTCCTAAGGAGGATGGATTTAAGAGAACCCTCTAGGGCTGGAGACAGGCTAGGGGTTTCCTGAAAAGATAAAGGATCTGCCTGTAGATAAGAGATTCCCCCATGACCAACAAGGGCAGGGTCGATTGCAAGGAAAAAGCTCAGGAGAATATGCACAGCTCAAGGGGAAGTGGTGGAAGTAGGCAGGGACTATAGATGAAGGCTGAGAGAAATAAAACTTGGCCCCATCAAGAGTCTGATGCTACGTGGGGAGCAGGGCTTAGGTCTTCCAGGAGTGCTTGGAAAGCAGGGACCAGAAAAGGAAGTTGTCCTTGGCAAGCCCCCTGGCCAGGAAACCTTACGTCATCTTAGGGCAGCTGCAGCTATAGTCAAAAGAAAAGGAGTCAATCTGCACCTCACCCATCAGGACGTTGGGGCTCTCTGGGATGTGAGAGATGTCAGAAACCATTCTGCAATCTCTGGAGGGTAAGAGAAGCAAACAGTGGGAATATATTCTTCCTTCTTCCTCATTGGCTCTCCTCTTTGAGCTTCAGCTAATGCAAATCTTTTTTTTTTTTTTTTTAAATAATTCTTGTTGGCAAGTTCCCAGGGCAGATAATTCCTCATCAGCACATCATGAGCACCAAGGTGGTTATTTCCAAATTAATGGTTTGAAGCAAAATATGAGCATTGTTAGTGAACTGGGGGCTGATAGATGGCAAAGGCACAGTGTCTAATAGCTAAGTGCGAATTTTCTGATGACAGCCACAAGATTTCAAAATAACAATAATTTGCATTTCTATAGCACCTTTCATCTGACTAATGAGCTTAACACAATTAATTCATTAATTTATAACGCTCCCTTAAGCAGCACAGAAGTAAGGGTTGTTTGAATAATTTTCTGCTTGGAGAAACTAAGGCACAGAGAAAAGGATGGTGTTGGTGGCAAGGCCATAGTTTAAGTAGCTCCAGGTCCACTGCTCCAGGGATAATAGGAAGGCACAAGAGTCTTCTGTGCAGGATGAGAAGTCTTCTTGCACCTAAGGGGAATGGGGTAGAAATAAATCTAAGAGGGCCCATAAGATTCAGGCCCCCTGGTATGCACACCCTGCATAAGCCCCCTTGAGTGTGGGCAGGACCTGTGAAGACAATGAATGTCACTTGTGTGACTAGGTTGCATTATACGGCAAAGGTGAAGGGATTTTGCAGAAGTCATTAAGGACCCTCATCAGTTTAATTTGAGTTCATTAACACAGAGATTATTCTGGGTGGGTCTGAATTAGGGGATATTTTGAAAGAGGGTCTAGAGGACAGGCCCCATCTTCTGTTGGTCTTGAGGAAGCAAGATAACCTGAGTTTCATGGCTGCAAAAAAAATGATCTCTGCCAACAACCCGAGGAAGTGTAAAAGGAGACCCAGAGCTGCAGCTGATCACAGCTCTGGCAAATACCTTGATTGCACCCTCATGAGAACCTGAGTAGAGGACCCAGTTAAGCTGTGCCCAGACTCCTGACCCACCGAAACTGAGAGGTCATAAATGCATACATTGTTTTAAGCCACTAAATTTGTGATACTTTGTTACCCAATAATAGAAGCTAACATAAGACATCGCCTGTACCTTGCAGATGATGTGTTTTGTGTTCTGAGCTGATTAAGACTGTGGATTCAACTGGATAGTCAAATATAACTCTGAAATCCCAAACGGAAGAAACTTTTTTCTCAGTCATCTTGTAACCAGATGTGCCCTAAACAATGCTGTCTCTCTTAAAGAGCCTTTATTTCACTCAAAGACTTGATGGAATCATGGGACACCAGTGCATGTCTCCCTAGAGCTTAGATGGAAATCTAGGCCTCCTCTCTGCCCCAAACTAAGGGTTATAATCTGAGAAGGCACTGGCATGGCTTAATTCATAAGGGACTACAACTTACACTTGACAGTTTAATTAGCAAAGATTATGATTATTTTGTCGGTGGCTATTTCTATTAATAACAGATTTCACAGGGATTTTAAGACTATTCTGGGATGCTAAGTGTACACCACGAGGTTTGCATATGAGTTCCCAAGCCCAAATGTCCAATGGCTTTTGAATGACCTTTGATTATCTACCAAAGATAGGCTATGGGCCCAGAAATTTGGCCATATTCAAGGATCCAGTCCACCACTGCCAGACATTGGTGGGGGTAGGGGGTAAGGTGTACAGCCCCGGATGAAGCAGCTTTGGCTAGAAAGTGGATTCTTAGTTCTGACTGCTGATTAGAATTACTTGGAAAACCTTACAAACTACCCATTTACGGAAGTTGAGGGTTGGAGGTAGAGAGTAGTATCCAAGTCAACTAGATCAGAATTTCTGGGATGGGCTCCCAGAATTAGTAAGGTTTAAAGCTCAGCCAAGTTGAAGGTGCTCTGTGCCAGAGTGTGGGAGATGAGCTGGGTCTAAAGTCCAGAGCAAGGCACACCTACGGGGCACTGGAGGTGTTTGGGCCATACTTTGAAGGAGCTGGCTCTTTCTCAGTGAAGGCAATGCTTTAGGATGTGTTTGGTGTCTATCATGGAACTTATTCAGTGATTCTTGGCCCAAGACTTGGTCAGTTTAGGGGGGTGGCCAGGATGCTTTGGGGCTTCCAGGAGGAGACCCCAAATAAAGCTTGCCTCTTCCCCCTGTCAGTTGACATTTCAAGGCCCTTTTTTGGTTCCTGGTGTGGTGAGTTTGCGGAAATTTGGGGGCTGATCAAGGAAAAGGATACCACCGTGAGGTGGCAGTAGCACACAACAAGCTTTATTTGGATGACACTGACAGGTTTGCATGTGGAGGGGTGAGGGAAAGTCCTTCACAGAATCAGACCTTCCAGATGCTAGGGTCCAGAGGCCATCACTAGGAAGGGGAGGAGAGCTAGGGACCTGGTAGTGGGGAGAGAGAGGGGAAAGAGTGATATCACTCAGCAACTCAGTGGGGAGTCTCTGGGTCAGACAGCTCTGAAGAGCAGCCATGGTCTTTATCTGGGTTACCTGATCTATGCCTAAGAGATGTTGGGCACAGTTTCATGAGGTATGCAAAACAAGCAGGCTCTAAACTGCTAAAAATCTGCTTATTCTGGCTATATTTAAAACAATTTGTTGTGTAAAATTTTGATTTTGTCCCCAGGGCTTTTGAACTAAACATTCCTTGCCTGCTATGAAAATGTAAACAACATAGGGGAAGACTGTAGGGAGGACTTTTAAAATGAACCTCTATGAGAGAAGGTTCCTTCTGGATCCTTTCTGGTCATTCACTGCTGTGTCCTCAGAGTTGAGAATTGTGGGAGAAACTCAGATCCACAACATAATCCTCTGCCCAGGTCCAGCCATGCTGAAGAGAATTGTTTCCAGAGAGGTACATTCTTCCTCATGAGTGTCCCCTTACATCTATGGCCTGCTGCAGGGCTTATCTTATTTTGGAAATGAGAATATGTTCAAGTGCATTGTGGTTTGAGCTAACTGGAAAATTCCTGGAGAGTTATAAAAGCATGAAAGGAAATTCCTTCGCTGGAGAAGAATACTCAGAGCTTGGATTCCTGTGGGATGTTTTTTCTAGAGCACTAGAAGCACCATTATCTCCTGTTCCCGCAGAAAGGTGGGTGGGATAAATAGGTAACTGGGCCTTTTCTCTGATAAGCCTAGAACTGTGGTTCTTCATCCTGGTTTCACATAAGAACCAAAAAGGGAGCCTTAAAAGATACAGATATCAGAGAACTTTGACACACACCTATGGAATCAATCTCTGAGGTGGAAGCCTGACATTTGCATTTTTAAAAGTCCCCCGGTATTTCTTCAAGGTGGAGAGTCCCAGAGCTAGAAAGACAGGGATTGAAAGTCATTTCCTGCCTCTCACTGAACTCCTGAACTCACACACTAGTTCGTGTAACTGTCAATCCCAGGAGACCTCCAGCTCATGACCTGCATAATTGCAAAGGGCTTTGATAACATGAGTCAATTTCAAATGCCTATACCTGAAATGTATTGGCCAAATTTCCCTTAACAAATTGTATAGATTCTCTTTCATATCACAGCTAACGTTTTTACAATTTTATTCCCTTTTCTTAAAAAGGGGTTGAAACAAAATCTCCCACCTAAGCTAAAATGTGTTTCCTGGAGAAACTCACAAAACTAAACATATTCTTTCCCCAAAGCATGAGCCTCAGTGTATTCCTAGCCCTCTGTGTGATACACTGTGCCACTTGTGGCATATCCCCTGCTAGACAGGCAACCTTGAAGTTGCCTCACTACTCTTACACCCTCAGAGGATTAAGTCTCTTGGCCTTGGTAATGACAGTGTGTCAGAAGAAATTATTTGGAAAACCTCAGGGTTTCCAAGAGAGAATGTAGGATGGGAAACACCAGTCTAGATAACATCTTGCTCATCTCTGGGTAGCAGGGAGAAGGTGGATATGACCAACTTCATTTTACGAGGAAGAAAGCGGGGCTTTCTTCCTCTTACATGTCTCACTTAATTCAGGCAGTGAGAACCTCATTTAAAATCCTGCCAAAAGCCCAGGGGACTCACTCCTCTGGGATGTTCTACTTCCCTTCTGAACCAGTGTCTGTACCTCAGAGGCAAGGGGTAGGAGTTAGGGTGGGGCTGGACCTGTCTTAAAGTGAACTGATTTTAAAACTCTACCAATCGGCCAGGCACAGTGGTCATGCCTGTAATCCCAGCACTTTGGGAGGCCGAGGTGAATGGATCACTTGAGCGCAGGAGTTAGAGACCAGCCTGGGCAACATGGTGAAATCCTATCTTTACTAAAAATACAAAAATTATCTGGACATGATGCCTCGCACCTGTAGTCCCAGCTACTCTGGAGGCTGAGGTGGGAGTGTTATTGGAAAGGTATCCTGATCCAGACTCCAAGAGAGGGTTCTTGGATATCATGCAAGAAAGAATTCAGGCAAATCCATAGAATAAAGTGAAAGCAAATTTATTAAGAAAGTAAAGGAATAAAAGAATGGCTACTCCATAGGCAGAGCAGTAGCATGAGCTGCTGGATGGCCATTTTTATGGTTATTTCTTGATTGTGTGCTAAACAAGGGGTAGATTATTCATGAGTTTTCTGGGAAAGGGGTGGGCACTTCCTGGAACTGAGGGTTCTTCCCCTTTTAAGACCATATAGGGTAACTTGCAGAGGTTGCCATTGCATTTGTAAACTATCATGGTGCTGATGGGAATGTCCTTTAGCATGCTAATGCATTATAATTAGTGTATAATGAGAAGTCAGGACCACCAGAGGTCACTTCCGTTGCCATCTTGGTTTTGCAGGATTTGGCCAGCTTCTTTACTGCAAACTCTTTTATCAGCAAGGTCTTTGTGATCTGTATCTTTTGCCGAACTGCTATCTCATCCTGTGACTAAGATGCCTTAACCTCCTGGGAATGCAACCCAGTAGGTCTCAGCCTTATTTCACCTAGCCCCTATTCAAGATAGAGCTGCTCTGGTTCAAACACCTCTGACAGGAAGATCACTTGATCCCGGGAGGTGGAGGTTGCAGTGAGCTGTTATTGTGCCACTGCACTGCAGCCTGGGCAACAGAATGAGACCCTGTCTCAAATAAATAAATACATAGATAAATAGCTCTGCCAATCCAATGCCTGATCTTTATCTCAGCCAGAGTGACAGCCAGTAAGGTGGTGCCATCTCTTCTTCTATTTGTTACTTCCAAGACTAAGGGGCCCCACCTCACCAAACTTTTTCTGAGTTGCTGACTCCTCCTGTGCCCTGGTCTGTCTTCATAGGAAAAGGTGTTTCTGAAGATTGGCCCAATGCCTTTCCTTTAGAGACCTCTGGAAAGACTGAGCGGAAATCACTTCCTGAGGGCCTGTGGTCCTTCTTTACTTTTGTTTCTAAAATGAAAATAATATATGTTATAGAATCAGTAGCATTATTAATAATAACAACAAGTAGTAGAGGATAGTGGTTAAGATTAAAGCCTTTGGGGCCACATTGGGGTCACGCACCTGGCTGTGTGACTTCAGGAAAGTTGCTTTCCTGAAGACCTCTTTGTGTCTCCATGTTGTCATCTATACAACAGAGATATACTAGTACCTATCTCATAGGGCTTTTACAAGAATTACATGCATTAATATATAAGAAAGTGCTAAAACAGTGCCTGGCCAGTAGTGCCTTACTGGTTGTAAATGTCACAAAAACTAATCAATTAGCATAATGCCAGCACTCCTAATTTTTTAAAATGTCATTCTCTATATTTCCTCTAAGTTCTTCTCTGCATGTGTGTATACTTTTACCCAGGCATGGTCATCATTTATGGTATCTGTTTGTTTTGAGAGAAGCAGAAAACAACTTGGTTGCTTGAGAACACATTTATAATTCATTTAGCTCTATTTACTCAGCTCAAATATTTCCCCATCATCTCACAATAAAAATGTTCATATTTACAGATATTGTGGCCTTTCCATTTTGGAAAGGATTTGGAATTCACAGTGGCGGTATTACAACTATCAGTTTCAATCACATTTAGCTATATTCGTGCTTACACTTGGACTATGATTATGATTATGATTATGCAGAGTCAAAATATCTGGTCAAGCCAAGTGTAGTTCATTTGTTCACAGGAAATCTAGCCAAGCTGTTAATGTTGCATTTACTGACAGGTGTTTTGTGCCGTGTAGTCTTAGCATTGCAATTCCTCACTTTACATGGCCAGAGAATACATTTCATGTAAATGAAATTTCTAGATACCTGAAACCTACCCTTTAACTGTCCAGAAATCTTTTTGAAGGAAACAGTTCTAACATATATGGCATGAGTTTTTGTGTTAGTTAAGAGTATACTTAACCTTTTCCTGATGACTTTCAGACATTATTGTGACCCGAAATTATTGCTTGTGCTGTCCTTCCAGGGCTACTGGCTGCATACCCCTGCAGTAAGTGGCCATTGCCAGCTGTGTTTTTAAGTTTTCAGTCTAGTTTTATAATTCTCTCTCTTTTGTCAGCATCTACTAGTTATAACTTTATACTTTGCAAGCTTTTTGTGCTGTGTACTAGGAATCCAGATAACTAATATTTTACAATTTTCTCTTAAATGGGCTTTGAATGATGGTCCAAGGGTCTCTCTTATAAAATGAATTGGCTTTGTGAGAGTTATTTTCTTTATGGCCATCAGTTTTATGGCTGTTGATGTAAGCGGGGGCACTGGCTATGTATTATAATGTGGAAGAGTTGATAACAAGGTACTATGGCTTGGAAAGTCTCTAAGCAGAATGATCTACATGTCTAAAATGAGATTTTCATAAAAATTTTATTTTGCATTTTTAAATAATTCAATGCATTGGCAGTATAGTTAATGCCTCTATGAGAGAAACCAACGCACCAGCTCAGCCAATATCATTTTTACAGAGACATCTTGTTGGAAAACAACAAAACCACATTAAAATGTTTGTACACAGAGTTACTGTACTGAGAACAAAGCACCAACAAAACGCTTGTGCGCCACACATTTGAAATGCAAAGCCACACAGGCAGATATAGTTTTATACACATAAAGCACATGAAACCAGCTTTTAAAAACCAGATAACATTTCATTAATTGATTGATTTTAGAACAGTTTACCCTGGTCTGTACAGGAAATTGGAACTTACTGAAATTCTGACAAGACGAGCATGCTTGTTAAGAACAGTGACAGTTGGTGGATCTGCAATGAGCATGAATGTTGGAAATCTGCACCCAAGAAAAGGTGGTTCAGAAGACTAATTGGATTCTCATAAAGCCAAGGGGGCACTTTCTGAATGATCATCACAATTTAATGGCCACCTGGGGTGCCCTTGGGGAAAGGGTCTTCCTTTGGGGACAGGACGTCAGGAAGTTTTCTTCATAGGAGCCAGGCAGGCTGTTCCTGATGGTTCTGCTCCTCTACTTACTTGGGAGGGAGCATAGGCCAGGCACGGGCCCCAGGGTTTTAGACTGCAGCTTGGAGCAAGTCAACTTCAACACTGAGGGCTCAACTCAGCTCATGTTCTCCAGTTGAGGTGGCCTCCATCTTCCCTCTCATGCATCTTGACCTACTACAATTTCCTCTTGGAAACTCAATTGGATTTTAACAGAGCCTTTTTCATCACAAAGTCCGGTGGAATCCGTTTAATTGAACCATGATATTATGACCAAAGCTTCCAAGAGGAAAGGAATTTTCATTTCAAATCACTGCCTTCATATAGTAATGTAACCAGGGCCTCCTGGAACTGTAAAATAATGTTTTTCAAGAAGGGAAAGCTAAAATCCCATGAAGGACAGCAAGCTAGACATGTTGCACATGCAGGGACACACACACGCACGTGTGTGCGCGCACACACACACACACACACACACTGACGATGTGTACTCTTTGTGCAGTTATGGCTTGCCACAATGGTCCAGCGACATGGTGTTGGTAAGCATCCCCACACACAAAGCATATGATGACAATTAAATTCCCATTTGTGTCCCAGTTACTCAATAAATATTTTCTATGACACTTAAATATACAAAATTTCTGTTTAAAATATGCATGAAAATGTCCTTTTTTTTCCAGGAAGAAGAGAAAGGTTATAGAGTCACATCTTCATTTACAACATGTTGGGATTATCTTTCTGATTCTTATATACAGGCTAATGGGAATGTTAGGAAATACTTCATATGAGTACACGAGACGTGAATGTGCCTGTTAGATACAAAGCAAACACACACGCTATAGACCAGGCAGAAGACACCCCTGACAACTCTCAGGGGTATTTTGCAAGTCTCAGTCAATTTACCTACTGGAAAAATAGGTGGAGTCATTTGTTAAACTGCATTAGGTCTCAGAGGATATTATTAAAGTGCTCTTTTGAAAAAACTACCTCTATCCTTTTCATTTATCACTGTGGGGTGTGAAAGGGCCCAATGAACATGGAGCATTCTTTGAAAACCCATCGATATTTGCCCAGATTTCATTCCTAGCATATAGCCTGGTCTAATGCAGATTTATCAAAGACTCCAGATTTCAATATTTTAATGAGGGGTGATGGACAGAGGGAAGGAGGAAAGAATAGAGGAGAGAGAGAGAGAGGGGGAGAGAGAGAGAGACCATTGCAATCAAAATATTTCTTCAGTCAATGATAACAACCCCCCCATCGAAAAATAATGGAAAAGGAAAAGGAGAAATGAAAAAAAAAAGATAAACCTAAAAAGTCTTGACTGAAGTACTATGGGAAATTTTTTGAAGAGGTTTTTTTCATATTTATAATGGTTACAGAAACATCTGAAGATGTTTGTAATTGCCAGGCCTCCAACTAAAGTTGATTGAAAAATCCTGATATAACACTGTCTCATCTGCCTGCAACCACTCCACTTGCTCCAGAATTATGTATCAAAGGTCAAAACACTGCTCCACAAAGTTATACAATTGGACAAATGAATTCAACAGACTAATATTTATACTGCCATGTAATAATGCAGTTATATTATCACGATTTCATAATACAGCATGCCTTTCCAGGGGGCATGTTTTAAATCAGGACACATCTATTTTTATTAATCTGTTATGTTTTGAAAGTATGAACAAGTACAATTCAGAAGCTCACATTTAATTTAACTATTTGTTTGGAAAGAGAAAGAACACTAGCAGGAAAGCAAAAGCCAGAGCCAGAGAGAGAGAGAGACAAGTAACAACAACCATCACAGCCACAGATACAACCACTACCACCACCAGAAAAGAAAATAAACCAATCTCTTCTTTGCAGGATCCAAAGAATATATCACTCATCTAACCAAGTGGGCAAAAGGGGAGAATTTTAGGTATCTTCTGATCCCAAAGAGGATTTCTGAGCATGGTATCTCTAAAAGGCTCACTACTGACATTCATTTTATCAAAGACAACACTACAGCAAACAATCTTCAGAAGCACTACTCAGAATAGGAGTAGAAACAGTAATTTGTTATATTGAGTAAATGTGAGGGATTTTATCTCAGACATTTCTCTTTCTAAAATATCCAGTAAGTAGAATCATCCAGGAAGAAAATTAAGTATTTGACAAATTGTCTTGAGATGGAATCAATCTCATTTGTAATATTTATGGGTGAATATGATTGATTAGTGAGGATGGTTTTGAATTAGGGGATGCACTGGATGATGTTAAACACATTTCTAGCTCTTTGTAGCTGTGAAAACTGGTCCACTGTCTGGTGTGGTGACGGGGGTGCTCAGAGTCCCTGTGTAAGTGTAATGCCAATTAAATCAGACCCGGATGTTACCATTTTCCAGTAAGGACAAATATTGTAGCAATACCATGAAAGGATAGACCCCCAGTCCCTGCTATCGTGCCAGCTACAAAAAGAATTGCAGAGGCAAAAGACAGAAGGGCCAGAAAGAGCGAGTAAGACATGGATCTCCTCCAGGGCTAACATTCAACCATGGATACAGGCCCAGAGAGAAAATGGAAATTTTTTTTTGAAAAATAAGATTTTAGAACAAGTTCTTCCATCTTTCCAGATACAAACCTCTTATTAACTGCAGAAGATGCACAGGACCAGGAGAATGAATTCTTTGAGATTTTCTATTCTACTTTCAAAATGATTTATGTGTGGAGGCCTAATTTAAAAATTTAAAAAGTGTATGTGTGTGTGTGTGAGTGTGTGTGTGTGTGTATTTAATGAAAGCCTCATTATATACTTTAGTTTATGCCTTCTTGTTACTGAGCTTAGTTTTCTTCGTACTGGGTGGAAAAAGAATTATTTTGGTTTGGATTATTGTTTCTGAATAGTCATGCAATTGATACAGAGATATTCTGGTTTGAGTTCAGAGCTAAAACAGTAAGTAGATACTTTTAACTAAAAACAAATGTTAACAAAAAACTTAGATTCCCTAATAACTAAAGTAAAATTCTTATGAACAACAATGTGAAGGTGGGAGAATTACTGAGTTTCCACGTCACATAAAAGAAAAACACAGTAAATTCTGGATTGTGCTATTCTCCATAGAGTTCCCGTAAATACTTTATCCTAGTTACATGTAAAAGTTACAAATAGCATTTGTAAATCAAAATAATGATGACAATAATAATAAAATAAAAAACACTCACTTATCTTTTTAAAAAATCAATCGTGAGGGTTTTCTGAGTGCCCATTTTACCTGTGAGATATGGAAGGAGATGATGGAACCATCTCCATTGATCCATCTCTCCTTTCAGCTCAGGAGGGCTTCATTCTTCTCAGCTATTCTCCTGCTTAAAACCTAGGCTTCCAGGGCAACCCATACCTCTAGGGCCTTATCATAAGCTTTCTACATTCACACATTGATTCATATCTTAAAACTATGTAATTGTTTTAGTCATCGAAGTGTGTGTGTAAGGGTGAGTTTGTGTGTGTGTGTCTGTGTGTGTCCACATGAACACATATATTAAATATGAACCCTCTGACTGGCTGCATCCAGTGGCGTGTTGAAGCATTTTTGCCCAGGCTTGCAAGAGCCAACTGCGTGCATCTCTTTCCAACCATGTGTTCAGTGACATCACAGTTGGTAGCTTAAAATCATCTAAAGTGGTAGTATTTATGCCATGGAAATTGGCAAATGGTGCAAACCAGGTGCTTTCTATTCTCAGCGAGCTGGTTGTTAAACATTTTACCAGCACACCACTGGTTGCATGCTAGGCTGACCAAATGAGAAGCTAGATCTTGTTCTGGGCAACACGGCATTAACTTAGCCTCGTTGGAGTGTCTCCAATTTTGCTTACTGTCCAGGGTCTCCTTCCTCCCAATTTCATAAACACTGCAGAACCACAACAGGGCTTGAGCATCTGGGGTGCATTTGACTACCCATTGTCACCACATTGGGCTCTATTCTCAGAGACACTTTCGTAGCCACATGAGTGATGCAGGACAAAACCAAAAAGGTAAAGCATCTGAAATTCCCTCCGAATATGACAGCTGGCTTCCTGCTGCAGAGACTGGAGAACAATGAGTTCCCCAATAGGAACAAACTATTCCCAGCTGAAAGCATCAGCTGGGGCATTCTTCAGGAGGCTTCCCACAGCTGGTCTGCATGCTGCTGCTCACCAGCAACTGCTGGCAGGCAGGCGAGCTTGAGCTTGCTACTGCAGCATCCTGTCAGGGGCCTGGACGTAGGCTTCCTTCACTTCCCCCTTCCCTCCTCAAAGTCTGATACAAATCACAGAGCCAACAAAATTGAGGTCACTGGCAAAAGAGTTTGAAATTTTGAATGATTTTTATTAAACACCATTAGTCTACACTGCACAGTTAATGAAACAGCAAAGCTCCAATCTCTTAGAAGAATGATGACTGATCATGGATCTAAAAAGCAGTTCAGTGTCCCCTAACCCAATGTGAGCACTATGAATAATTCTTTAACATCTCATGTCAGACGCAAAAAGGGGCAAGAACTGCAATCTGGCTTTGTGGGGCTTCCCCACCCCCCACCCCCCCGCCCCCACCCCCACCCCCTTTCTGCCCTCCCCACAATGCAATTTTCTTTTAGCTGGTAGATTACAGAGTAAAATGTGATGATTTTGGTAAAGAGGGCTTCTATATTTCTGAGGAGGAGGATGGAAAGAGAATTAATACTTTTTCCTTCACCAAAAATATCAGATGGTAGGATTAATGTCTGAGACCGGCCTATCTGATTAGTCTCCTGCCAGGGTAAATGCTGATTATGAATACACAGATGCCACTTCTGTTGTTGGAGTCTACTAACACTAAAGAGAAAATGAATTAGATTTTAATTATGAGAATAAGGCCGTGCGAGTGAAAATGAGAAACAACAACAACAATAACAACAACGATGAAGAATTTAGTCTGCCAGTCATGTAACAGAACACTGACAACTGGCTCAATAATTTTTCCCCACAGAATTAAATTTGGGGGTGCTGAATTGACCCATTCATTTGATACTGTGTAGCTGTATCATCTTGCCACACATTTTTCTCAATGGGGATAGTGATGCTTCTCTAAGCAAGCAGTTCATTGCTTTACTGAGTAGTCTTACCCAGTGATCCAGTTTGGTTCTCCCACCTGCCAACTCATGCAGGTGAATTTTATCATGTCTGTTGAGAAGTATGTGAGGCTTCACCCTCACAACTCAACTGATTCTGCCTTCAAAGATATTTTCCAACCTCAAACTCCAACTTCAACCTCCGGGATGCAAATTTGCATGAAACAGAATCCAAATTAGATATCTTTGGGAAAGATATGCTAGAAGAGTATCTTTCCAATGCAGACAAAATCTAATGAATTTAGTGATGTAATGTCCAAATGAAAATTCATCCATTTGGAAACTCAACAAAACACATTTTTAGCCAATGGTTTCTAATTTTGCAACTTGCTTTTTGCCTGAAGATTTTGGTCTTTTCATTTCCTTACATGGAAAAAAAGGCATCCCGACCTTAAGTCTTTTAAAAGTAGTAGCAGCTAATCTGCTTTTCCAATTATGTCATCCAAATATAAAACTACTAGTATTTTCCCAATGAGATTATTAAGTAATTAACAGTCTACAGGCTGGCTAACAACATGCTTACAGCTAAATTCTACCCGGAGGACCACACTAGTAAACCCTTTTCAAAGTAATCCTACCTACCAAACTCAGACAGTTATATGACAAAACCACTAAAAATCCAAAGTTAATTAAAAATACAAAGCCAAGCCAACATCATAACACAAACTTGTCAAACTCTCTGTGGTTGGAGCTTGGGTGACAAGTGAAGGCGTAGTGGTGGCCCTACCTGGGTCAAGTTGCAGGGCTGAGATCATTTGGTGTACTTGCTCAGATGGAGCTTCCTTTTACTCTGCCCTCTATTCTAACCTCCACGTGCTTATTTAAGTGTGTCTCACCAAGCCTCCATCAAGATCTAGAGGCACGATCTCTCACTGCCATCCACATGTCTCATATCCCTCCCACAAACTGGTATACTGAAGAGATTCATTTGACAGAATATCTCCATCCCTTAGTCCCTCAAATAGCTGCACACCTACGACACGCATCACCATTTACACTGTGATGAACAGAGTAACTATAAAACAGCAACAATCCTTAATCATGAAACTGAAAGATGTCTTATCTCAAGGGATAGGAAGGTAATTCATCCTCCATGTTTAATTAGTTCCTAAGCTGCTTTATAAATGAGTCTACTACATAATCAAGTGGTGATCCAGAGCTCGATTGTCAGATTTGGTCACTGTGCTGCAGACTTGGCACATATTTTACACTCAGTCACCAGAGATGACAGAGAATCCTCTTGCCTCCCTGTTGTATGTAAGTAGATATAACAAGTCACTGAAACTAGAACTACAAGTCTTTCATCCATGAGGCAATATGCTTGTTTCTCTGGGAAACTGCCTCAACATTCTAATGTCTAGTTTCTGGATGTGGGATTTCAAGAAGAATCTACTCCTAAATCCATGATGGTCTAGGATTGTGGTTTAGGTTGAACTTACAAGTCAAGCCAGTGGGCTTCATTATATAGTAATAGCCAGGCACTCTACCTGGTAAACCATGATAAAGAGACAACTTGAGTCACTGCAAAGTCATCAGCTTAATTTTTATATGTGACACCAACCTTGGGTGTTCAGAGTCTTTAATGTTATCATCATTTTCCTCTTTTAAGAGGCTCAGAAAAGATTCTTTCAGGTTTCATTTGTGAGTGTTTGGATGCATAAGTGTTGTTGCTGAGACTGTAAACATAAAGCTCAACCACAGTGGGAGCATAAAAAGTGCTGGGTTCAGCTGCAGGGATGCTCCCATCAGCCATATTAACAACATGGCTTCAGCCATTGGAGTACAACTTCCACAGCCTTATACAACAAAAGGCCTTAAACTCAAAGATGACCAGAGCACAGCTCAAGTCTGGCTGTTTTGCAACTGGGGATATATCTAACCTTGACAATGAGAGTGCAGAGTCATCACCTGCTGTTTCTATCATGGACCTGCATGGCTGGCTTTAATAATCACACAAGTTTGCATCTTTCATGTGCATATCTATTATTTATCTGGTCATAACTCAGTGAACAGAATTTGATAACCCAGCATATTAAAGGCTACATGGAATTATATACCAGCAGGTAATTACCAGTAAGTAATGCATGGATAGTGTTTACCCCAAGTGTAAGAATCTTCTGGTGAGCTGGAACATCAAAAATGATATTTACATTGTGATGTTTAGGGACATAAAATGAATGTGAAGGATCATAAGGGGGTAGTCACAACCAGTGAGAAATGTCTCCAAATTAGGTGAATGGTTCCCAATGTTTAGGGCTCTTTCAAAGCATCTCAAGGTGAAGCACTACCCCACGACTCATTTTAAAAAAATAAAAGTTAGCTACTATTTAGAGAGTTTGGAGTTTTCTTAGAAATTTTCATGGAAATGATTCACAATAATATGGACTTTAATAAAAGGAGTAATTGTAATTCAGTCAAAAGTTAATGAGCCAAACAAAGGAAAGGGAAACACAGATAAGAGAAAAAAGAAAGTAGAAAACAGAAAACCTATAAGAGAGAAAATGTGAATAATAATTGAGGAAGTCCAGATTTTCAAGCCACTAGGAAGAAAACTGTATATCATTACTTCTAGGTAGTGATACCTTGACTTTTGTTCCCATAGATTTGAGCAAAATACAATTTAAAAATCCTGCCAGTTATGGACCCACTTACCAACTGTGTAAATGTTGTTGTTGCAAAGGAGGCAGAGGTGTGAATTCCTTGTTGGACACTTTCCAGACCTCTCTTAACTCCCACTTGTAAGTCTAGAGTGTAGCATTTTGGCTACTAAGGCATGCATCAACCAAACTGTTCTTCAAAAGGACAGCTTTGCACACAGAGAACCCCAGGTGAGGATTTACACTTCAAATAATGGAGTTGAAAAACACTGATGCCAGCTGATGCCTAAAACTTGTCAAAATAAATGTCACCCTTTCTTCTTATCATTAAAATTAACAAAATAGGGAATCAGGAAAGGGATGCTAACAAGAAAGTCCTCTGGTTGTGTGGCATAGCATCTTTTTAAGAGTAGCATTGCTATGCTCATTTATTTTCTTGATACTCTTGATTTTATGATGTTGCTACAACATCTAACCAGTGGGTTTTGACAATGAAAATTCTCACCTGAAGATTGAATCTGTGGGATACACAAAAGTTTGACAGATTCTGAAATATGTTCTTTTCTGGGTATAAGAGTAGAGTTTGGGGGATGGTCCCTTGTGTCTAAGTTCTCATGTATATGTAAGACCACTTGTTGCATTTCTCAGGAGCCTGTCTTTATCACAAGTGCTTCCCATTCTTTGTTTTGGGTAGTGTGGGCTTAAAACAATATTGTAGGGACTGTCATTCCATAAAGCACAAAAAGATGGTGGAATCTGAGAAATGCATATCAAATGCTAAAAGAAAAAAAATGACTAAGTAATAAAACGTACACTGCCCTTAAGTTGTAGTGTCAACTTACAATGACTTCTGTTTTTTACAGATAACAAAAGAAGCATAAAAACAAACATAACCAAAGAGAACGTTCCCCAGTGAGTGGAGTTCCACCAGTGACCATCAGTGCGCTGGTAGAGGTAGAGTGATGGGTCGTGATGCTAGAGATCTGAGAACACCCACTACAACAAGTGGGCATCGATGCGCAGCCAACACAGTCCTTGGCGAACGTAGCGGACAAGATTGGTCATGCTGCTGTGCTGGGTCAGAGGCCCCATCAGCGTGTCCAGATCACCAAAGAATTCTGAAAAGCAGAGCAGTTCTCAGTTAGGCCTTTATATGATATCATGAAAATATGCACCACATTGAGAAGCTGCTTTCACACAACACCACAACCACATGGACAATGGAAATGTGATTCATTTGTCCATTCATTCATTCAACAAACATTTATAGAGTGCCTACTAGGAGACCAAAACTCCACAAGTTTATCAAGCCCTATTATTTTAATCTTTAGTGAGCTCCAAAAACTCTGCAGTACATAATACATTTATGTTTTCATAGATTATACATTTATATTTAGAAAAGGGTATTTCTACACAAAATTGTAGGGAGCCATGGTCTATCTAATGTCAAGCTGTTTGTCATTCAATGTGTTAATGAATTGAAAATATCCTCTTTTCCTTTTGTCTAAATGAACCGAGTTTACTGAGTTTTCTTGGCATGGTCTAGACAAGGCCCATGAATCTGGACATTAATAGTAGCCGTCAGCCTCCACAGCTAAATAAACATCTAGGAGGAATTTGATTCTGTAAGTCTTCTTACCAATTTCATTGGGGATGGAAAATGGCCTGCAAGTATCTGTCACTTAACAACTTTTCCAGCCCCTGACCTAGGACATTAATGGTAAGAATGCCCAGCTGATTTCCCCTTGGTTCACTTAGGGAAGGGGGCAGCCCTGAGGCTACACTACTAACTAGCGCGACTGGAGTTTTGGAACGTCTGCCTTAGGCGATAGAAGTACTATGTGGGAAAAACTATATGATCTCTAAAAACTAGCTAGGTGTTCCCTTTTCATGTACGAATTCATTTGCCTGGCACTTAGTTATGAGAGAGCTCTCTGGCAAAGGAAGCAGCCTCAGCTATGTGCTGGCTGGCAGCAAGGAATCCGTGTCAGGGGGTGGGGTGAGGGGATAGGACTGGAGACTGCCCTAACGTGGGATGCTCTCCTGCCTTCTTGGAAAGTGATTTCCATGCATGGGTTACATGTGCTTGATTGCTCAGCAGATGGAATTTCATCAAACAATGCATTTACTCTTCATGTTATATATAACATATGGGATCCTTCTCTAGGTGTCAACCTCATTTGATTATATGATACTTTTTAACCTGTACTATGCAATAAAATAATTTCTGCTGATAAAAGAGTAAATTATTTCTGGCATCTAAAATATTTTCCTATGTAATACAGTATTAAGGAAAACATTTAAGGACCTAGTCATTGTTGAATGAATGTGAGCCTCATATGAGCCAGGATGTTCCCTGGGTATTCTGTACAAAGCTCTCTGTGGCATTCTTAATTAGACACCATTTTAATAACTGCTCCAAATGAGCAGTATAAGCAGCTGGGCAGGTAAGCTTCTAGACCAAAGGCCAGAGGGCAGCATAAGTGCCATTGGCTCATTTCAGCACCAGAACCTTCTACAATAAGCCATCTGCAGCTGCATTGTGGGCAGTATGAGGCAGGAGTGGAGACCTTTCACTGGGAGAACCAACTTCACCCATCTCCACTGGGTAAAAAACGTGCAAATACGTGGTTGTCTCCAGTGAGATGCAGAGCTGCAACCAAAAGGGAAGCTCTTCAGTTCTCTCTTTTCTATGTAGACAAGGTAGATGTGAATAGAATCCCCAAAGCTAAGTAGATCAGAAATGACAAAGTATGAAACTCCAGGCTTTGAGCAGAAGATTTCACACTAGTCTTCTCCCCAGTCCGCTGAAAACCCCAATGACAGCATTAACAGGACACATTTTCTCTCTGCTGGTAGAGTGACGGAGTTGTTTTCATTCAAGATGACACAGGGAATTTAGCAACTCTTTGACACACTGTGCTAATGACAAGATTAACACCATTTCACCCTAACATCAGCACAGCCATCACATTGCTCCTGGAAAGTTCTGAAGTTAGTTAATTTAGAAGGAAATACTTTTAACAGATTTTGAAAATGGATGCAATGATAAAGGAAATCCATAAATATTGAACTGCCCTCCAGTTACTAATACAAAATAAGAGAGAAATAGCAGAGGCAGACATGCTAGGCAAATCTTAAGATGTGTCTATCTTCACTTGCAATTCTAGAACCCCTGGATGAGTCTGGTTGTATAGGCCAGTTGTCTCTGAGTTTCCAGAGGTGTAGAAAAGTAGACAATTTAATAATTATCCATTGCTCAGATAACTGGTTTGGGATCTCACCAAAGGTCTCTGAGGACCTGTCATTAATCTTGCTCTCTAGATGGGCAGTGTAGCCTATTGATTAAGAAATGAGACTCTGGAATCAGACACTTCTAGATTTCTGCTTCTAACAAGCAAGAGCTGTGATAACATGGGTGAGTTTCTTAATCTCATAGAGCCTCAGTTTCCTCATGTATGAAATAAGGGCAAATGAGACAACAAATGATAAAGCAATAGTGCAGTTCCTGGCACATAGAAATTGCTGCACAAACCTGTGGAACCAATACATGCAGATATTCCCAGGAGTCAGTGTAAATTTATAGCTGCGTTGAGGGGTGAGGTCTCAAATTATGGAATGTGCTTTGTGAGCCACAAAATCTTTGAGTTATATAGATACATAATATTATGGAGTAAGGAAAGATAATAAATCTTTGTAGAATTTCTACCTTGAACTCAGAATTTTATACTAGGTGCTTTACACCCATTATTTAATTCAACCCATCTCTATCATCCATCTGGGACGTTTCACCATCATCATCACCATTACGTCCATTATAGAGACAGAAGCTAGGAAGCAGCTCACAGATTTAATTAACTTGCCTAGGTTGCCTAGGTAATGCATGACCCAGGTAGGATTCAAACTTAAATGATTGGGTTGCAAAATCTGCATCCTTCCTATTCCAATGAGATGGTTTCCCCACATGCTCAGCGATACAGTAGTAATGGGTAGCCCACATTTGTCCCCACCTTGACTGGTGTGGAGCAGTCTGTGACTGCTGGGCCAGAATCAGCCAAGTCAAATGAATGGCTGAGACAAATGTGCAGTTTAATTTTACTTCCCACCTTCATTAGGGTAGTGAGGCTTTGTTGTGATCCTCAATGACAGCTAAGGTCACAGATGTCTGCATGAGTCACCAAAGACCACGGATTCACTCTGGTAAAGCAGGGTCCTCTTTGCATTTGTTTTGTAGCAAAGTTCAAGTGTCATCATGAACAGCACCCTGATTCTTCATCCCAGCCATCGGTGTGTGAAAAGTACTAGCTGAACTTTGGCCCTTGCTTCCAAATGCAAGCTGCGTTATCGTGTACTCAACTGGAGCTAATAATTATATTGAAGGTTGAAGGCCTTAGTTCAACCTCACCTCTCAAAAAAATAATAATAACAATAATAACAGGAGCCAACAGGGTCATAATTAATTGTAAACCATTATTTTTGTCTTTGCCTCTGTTTCTCTGTGTTGATCTTTGTCAGTGAGTGAAATTCAAAACACATCACAGTTCAAATGAGTTTAAGCTTTAAAGGAGGACAAAATTCCGGGGCTTTTTTATGCTCTCAGGAATAATAGGTCACTGTGTCAGCCCTGAGCGAACTCTGTCTTCCCTTATCTAAGTTCTGGAAATCAGAGAGACAGAAAGATATAAGGCCACCAAGTACAACTCAAGTCCTTCAAAGTGAAGTTAACTCCATCATGGTCTGTGAGCTATATGGGTAGAACAGATGAGCATACCTTTGTTTTCTCTTGTCAGTTTGTCGGCCATATCCCAGTGTTCATAGCCCCGTAACACATTGCTAGTGATGTTGACGTGGCTGGCAGCCATGTGGTGAATGCGCTGGGGAATGGTGACTGGGCCATTGTTACAGTTCCCCATTGCGTTGATGGGGGAGACGTTGTTGAGAGACACTGGGGATGGAGTGTTCCTGGGAAATGGAAAGAGACAAGCCTTGTTAGGCTGGTAGGAAAGAGTGACAGTGGGGTTCTAGGCCTTCCCCATCACGCTGGGATCTCATCAGAATGCCATTTGCTGGAGTGAAGTTTAGCATAGCGTACACATGTGAAGCCCCATCAGAGTGGAGCTTGTTCTGACATCCCACTGACTCTTCTCACAGTACAGCTACAGCTTTTGTCAATGCAATAGCTTTTGTCAACACAATAGCTTTTTCCAGGGGCTCTAGTGGATACAGAGATTATTACCACCCCATACCTGCCTCATCTGACCAAGCCACCCAGAGCTACAGTGCCACACTATAGAATGAGGCCCACTCTTCTTCTTTTCTAACATTAAACACCAAAGTCTCCACTGCCTTTGACCACCACCGAGGGCTCCATGCACACCACTGCTTTTGTCTTCAAATACCAGAGAGGGCTGGGTGGATATTTCTCTGGCATTAATTCTACCCACAAATATAGCTCTTCCTTTGAATACATATAACAAGTGTTGTGATGTTTCAGAGAAAGAAACAGCTCAGAGCTATGATGATTTCTCTACCTGCTGCTGGAACGGCTATCAGCAGTTAGAAAACACTTGATGTCCAATATTGGTCTATCATCAAAGTGTTTTGTGGAAACCACAATGTCAGTTTGCTCCAAATACTGTTACCACAATAAGCAAAGTGCAATTCTTACAGCCCCCCAAGGAGCAGTATTTGGGAAGCTGGGAAAAGTAGTATTCTCTCTCTTTAGGATTCTTTAAGACATGCTACAGAGATGGGCTGTTAATTGCTGACTATTTACCTGCATGCTGATTTATAAAAAGAAGTCTTCAGGGTTTCCACTTCAGAGAGTACCAGTGTTTAGACACACATTTTCATTATATTCTTTAATATTCGCAACAAGGAGTCACCTGCTGGCTGTATACAGCATGGGGGTCGTTTTTCTTCCAGGGCCCAGGGTTAGATCTGGCTACCTAAGGAACCTGAAGGCTTGCCCAGGAACAGTCACTAAAGCAAGGTCTGTGTGCCCCTCTGGTTCTCTCTCCTCCTCCAGTCACACTATGAACATCTGCCCAGGCAAACGCATCAATTTTTCAGGACAGAACATAATGAGTGAGTAAATGAAATGGAGGGAAGATGTCTTTAGGACTCCATGAGTCTGCATGTTTGAAAGAATCTCTTCATTATTCCTCTGAACACACCTTATCACACAATCAAGGAACTCTGTCTTCTGCCCCACCCCCCACCCCCTTACCAGTTGCTATTGTTGGCAACTCTAGTTTTCCAGTGTGGCTCCCAGAACAGATGTGCACCCTGACGGGCAGCACATACAGATGATTTGGGGAAACAGCAATTGTAGCATACCAAAATGCTGAAATGCTGCTGACTAGATCTGGGAACAATTACAACTGCAATGCTCTTGAGACTCACACAGGCTGTGCCTACAGCTATAGGACAGAGTTGGACCATTTCTGCAAACCATCTATTTTCTGGTATGTTCTGGTCTGGTCTGAGGGAGCAAGTTCATCCTCACACTTGCTCTGTGCTTGTCTGGTGTGAATGGGTTCGAGAGTGTTTCTGCTATGTTTATAATTTCTGAGCTACTTCGTCACTTCTTGATAGAAAGATTTATTCTTAAGGTAGGAGTGGGATGAGGAGATGTCCAAGCTAAGGGGTCTAGGCACAGAAGACAGTGAAATGACAAAAAGGCAGTGAAAGCTGGGTTTCTTTGTTGTGGTAGGTTGCAAAAGCTATTTCCTAGTCTTTTTCCCCAGTGTTAGTCATTAACTCTTAAATGTCAATTTATGGCAAGAAAGAAAGACTTTCTCGTCTGTAATTCTTAGAGAAAATGACAAAGTTGTCATGTGCCACAAATGTCGAAAGAAGTTAGAAAGGCATGTGACGTGTGCCTGTAGTTGCAGCTACTCGGGAGGCTGAAGCGAGAGGATTGCTTGAGCCCAGGAGACTGAGGCTGCAGTGAGCCATGATCGCACAACTGTGCTCCAGCCTGGGAGTCAGAGCAAGGCTGTATCATAAAAAAAAAAAAAAAAAAAAAAAAAAAAAAAAAAGGCCAGGCACAGGGGCTCATGCCTGTAATCCCAGTACTTTGGGAGGCCAAGGGGGTCGGATCACCTGAGGTCAGGAGTTCGAAAACCAGCCTGGCCAACATGGTGAAACCCCGTCTCTACTAAAAATACGAAAATTAGCTGGGCATGGTGGCACACGCCTGTAGTCCCAGCTACTTGGGAGGCTGAAGCAGGAGAATCACTTGATCTGAGAAGGCAGAGGTTGCAGTGAGCCAAGACACTGCACTCCAGCCTGGGTGACAGAGTGAGACTCCATCTCCCAAAAAAAAGACAGAAAAAAAGAAAACAAAAGGGAAAGAGAGACCACATGGTGCAGGGAAAGAGGTGCTGGAATCCCAGGAGATGTGGACTCTAGCCCTGGCCCTGCCATAAAATTGCTGTGTGCCCCTGAGCATATCCCTTCTCCTTGCTTGGCCTTACTTTTCTTGACTGCAAGAAAAGGTTGGATTCAATGATTTCCAATCATGTCCAGGAGTCACAGGAGAAACCAAATCATCTCTCTTTACCACATACATCTTGAAAAGCCCTTTTTACTTTATTACACTGAAGTGTTATTGGGGACTTTTCTCCCTACTATTCTCTAATTTATTTATTTTAAATACTCAGTGGTGGAGGCAAGAACAGCTAGGATAAGTGTCTGTTTTCAATTGTTACTGTTCTCACACCAGGCTCTAAGGTCTGACATATTCTGATGCACATGTCTGCACACTACCTTGTGCTCATTAAATGAAAACCTGCCTAAGAAGTTGTGACTGTGGCTAAGAGAGGGCTGATGCAGGGCCCACTCACTTCAGTGTGCTCTCCAACTCTGACTTAGCTCTCATCACTGCGTGGGGTTTCCCTTCCTGTTCTTTGTGTGTATCTGCTTGCAGATCTCACCCTTTTTTCCACATTTCCATGGCACATGCAAATGAGCATGCACACAGAAGCACATGCTTCCCACCACTTCCGCCACTACCACCCTGGTCCAACCCACCATCCTCTCACCTCTAAGCCACACTCTGCCATGCTGTTCCTTGAACTTGTCAGGCATGCTCCCTCCTGCTTCAGAGGCAGCTGCCATCCCTATGCTTGGAAGAAACTCCTCCAGCATTGCCATGGCTTTCTCTACCATCATCCTTCTCTAAAATCCCTACTCAAGATTCAGCATGGTACCACTGCTCCCTCCCCTATCCTCAGCAGCCCTTTCTGCCTGCCTTCCTTGTTTCAGTTTTCTCCATGACACTTCCCACAACCTAGTATGCCACATGTTTGTTGTTATCTTTCTCCTTCAACAGAATGTGACCTTGATGAGGGCAGTTTTTTTTTTTTTTTGTCTATTTCACTCTGTGCCATACTTCAGTATCTAGAACAGTGTCTGGCGTATATGTTCTCAATGAACACCAGCTGAATAAATGAATGACTTGCTTCTATTCTTTGTTTAGTATCTACTACATATAAAGCGCTCTGGAAGGTAGAAGGAGAAGAGCATATATAGCATGAGGATAGGGGATATGTCTACAAAAGGCCTGGCAGAGTGTCTCACACAAGGTAGGCACTCAATAAATATTTGGGGAATGATAGGATGGATGGCTACTTATTGCAAAAGAGCAAAGAGTATACTAGAGGAGCAAATTACATTCTTTTCTGGCAATCTGGAGTAAGTGCCAAAACTGTGGTGCTAACCAAGTGCTGTGGGAATTCTAGAGGTAGGATCATTATCTTTTCTAACTTAAATAGGTAACAATTACAACAGTAATCATGGCAACAGTAGCTGCAGCAGCCATCATTTGTTGCACAGTCTCTATGTGCCAAGCATAGTTCAGGGCTTCACCAATATTCTGTCCAAGCCTCACCATAACTCTGCAGGGAAAGTTCTGCTGCCACTGTTTCTGGCCTCAGAGAAGTTCAGCTCCGTCCTGAGGGCCACAGAGCCCAGAGAGCCAAAAAGCCAGGATCTAATAGCAGGTCCATTTTCCTCCAAAGCCCATTCTCTTCATTCTCTTTCCATTCCACCATGTCACCTCAAAGTCCTGCCATCCATGTTTGCCCAGCTTCTTTCTTTTTATTATCTCTCTGTGACATTCGAAATTGTTGCTCAGCCTTTTTAAACTCTCCACAATGTGGATTCCAGAACCCTGTGTCAAGAGTCAGCAAATCTGGCCCATCTTGTGTTTCTGTATGGGCTGTAAGCTCTGAATAGTTTGCGAAAGATGAACATTTGCAATCGATTTGTTGAGAGGGAACACTAACTTTGAACCCCAATTAAGCAAAATGTTATGAAAAAGATTTACATTCTTCTCACCAATAGACTTGTATTTCAAAAATTATATGTAATTGTTATTATATTTTGAATCTTATCAGTAAAAATTTTGTGAAAATTTGTTTTCTCTCATATTTTTCTACATAGTAGCCTTGGTTTCACCTCTTAGCACAAAGCCCAAAATATATAGTGTCTGGTGCTTTAAATAAAAAGTTTCCTGGCCCCTGCTGTAAACTCAGCAGATTTTTCTGCTTCTCCTTCCAATTGCTTCTTTGCACTTTCTTTCTCCAGCTTCCATGGAAGCAGTTCCTGAATGTCTGTTCTTAACCCTCTGCTCATCTCTCCATATAATTTCCTGCAGAGCCCTTAACCACCTCTGGGCAGCTGACTTCCCCAATTGCTAGCCAGCCTAGGAGGGTTTGAAGTCAGAGGGTGCTGCTCCTGGAAGGTGCTGTGAGAGCCCTCCTTGGGGGACACCACCCTCATTCACAGAGAAACAAGGCCATAATCTTGCTTGCAGACAAGAAGCCCTTCCTGGTCACGCAGGGAGGCCCAAGCTCCTTCTCCTAGGCTTCCACAGCACCTTGTTCATACCTGTCACCTCCTTCCACTGGACTGTGTGCTTCTGGAGTGCAGGGACCATATCAAATTCAGCTTTCTGTCCCCAGCCCATCGTGCTGCAGATGCACGCAAAGCATTTGCTGAATGAACGAGACATAACCCCTGAGTGACTGTTTTGAGTTGCCTCAGTCAAAAGCTCTGTGGCCTACCAAAGGGAATGTGCTTTCTTCATGCAAAATCTGCTTAAGAATCATTTCAGGAGGCTTTTCATGCAACTTCCCAAGCTTAGGTTGTGTTTGAGTTCTTGCGTTTCAGAATTTTTTTTAAAAAAACGCTTTTTTCCCCAGTGATTCTTTAATAGCTGCTTACCTGCCCTTGCCCTTACTTTACTCTGTGCTCAGGGAAAACAGAGCTGGGCCTTTCTCCGGTTATTTTTATTTTCTGAACTTATTTTTTCTCTTAAGAGAGAAGCACTCTTTCTCTTTTGTTCGTCAATATAAGAGTAAGACCTAATTCAACATTTTAAACAGTGCTTCCTTTCAGTGAAGTAATTGAGTTAATGTGTAGTTTTCAATGGATCTGTTCCCTCGCACTGAATGTTTTTATGATTTCAAAGTAGAGTTCATTGTCCCGTTGCTTTTGGAGTACGTTTTCTAGATATTTATAAAGTGGCAGTAGAGACTGTTTTATTCTTGAAGAAATTATTTTGATCAGAGATGCAGGAATTTTGAAATGATGAAAAACTGAAAAAGCAGCTTGGAGTTATAAAGCGGTCTATGTCCACAGTCATCTAGTTTCCCTTCCCATCACTGAGGGGTGTGGGCTTGGGCTGGTAAGGGGTATTTGGAAATCAGAGGAGAAACTGATGCTCAGGCAAGTTAGCTAACTTCACAGCTGACACAGAACTGGGATTCGAACTCACTCTCTATAAGAGACATCTCTTCAGTGGGACTTCGAGGGCATTGGGTCCAACCCCTTCATTTTAGCGATAAAGAACAAGCCCAGATAGAGGAAGGGGCCCTCTTAGCTTACCCTGTAAGCCAAGGGCAGCTTCAGCACCAGGTCAACGGTTTTTGGGCCCCTACTCCACTGCTATTAAGACTGAGCTGTCCCAAGCAGATAGAACTCTAAATAAGGCCTCAGGCGCAGGTGAGTTCCCTGAGCCTCCAATCAGCATTATAGTGGATGCTTTTCTATCTTAGGCTAGGGCATTTTAGTATTAATATAAAAATTATCATGAAGGCTTGGATAATTGGCTGAGCAAGTGCCTTCACATTTTCAGCACTATTATGCCTTTGGTTTTATTAAACAGCACTTACCATATATCAATGAATATTTCATTGGTCTTTCATTATTGAGTGAATCATTGAAAAATCACTGCAGTGGAGTTAACTTTGTCCTGCCTCCCTAAAATGGCATGGTGCTTGCCATCTTATTAGCAGATATTTTTATGGCTATAATTTGGCTTAAAGATCAAATAGTTAAATAACTCTGAAGCACATCTTTTTAAACTTTTCTGTCTTGCCATTAGCCGAAGCCTGGCTGGAATTTTGTATGCACAAAAATGACTGTAGTTCTAGAATTGACCTTCACTCCTGACTTGTCAATGCAAAATATCTGGGGTCTATTGAATCACTCATCTTCACGAAAAAGCAATTTTCAGAAAATACTTACTTTCCATTGCTTACCCATGGAGAGGGTATCTGTGCGACTTTTGAAGCATTTTGCTAAAAGAGAGAGAGAAGAGAAAGGGAAATAAGGACATCTATTTTGTGTTTTATTAATTCAGAAACAGATGGAAGTGTGATTTAGAGTACATTAATATTGATTGCAGCATTTCGGGATGCAGAGCTGGGATGTATGTGCACGTCAGCACACCACGACGCACACTCGATGAAAATAGCTGGTTAGGATAATTAGTGGGCTCCAATCAGGACCATGAAAGTCACTTGATGAAAGATCTTATATACTAAAAGGCCCAGTGAAATCAGACTCGGTTCTCCAAGAAGTGGTTTAATTATCCTCATCTGAAATTTATTCTGCCAAACAAGCTCTTCAGAGTGCAAGTAAGCTTTTCACCTTTAGCTCCAGTTGCAAACTTTTTCCCTGGGATGCAGAGTGAGCTGTCATTTCTAATAATCCAAGAATGTGTCAGAGCCAAGCAGTATTTTCGTTTGTTTGTTTGTTTTCAGGAATCACCTTGATTTGCTCTATTTACATGCAAACCCTCATGGCTAAAGAGCTTCCCTATTTAACAAAGTGACTGGTCCAGGGCTGCATTGCAATCAAATACTAAATATGCCTTTGTTCCTCTGATGGAAGTGGGCTGGTTTAAAGGATGGGCTTCCTTGTATTTTCAAGACCACACACTTGTGGATCAGAGGGAAAACTGACATTCAGCATTACCACTACAGGACAGGGATCAGGCTCATTGTAATGGCCTAGCCAGGTGGAAGGTCAAGCAGCACAGATGGCCACAACTCACACTCATGGCACTGTGCCTGACTCAGACCTGCTCTCGGAAGTTACATCCCCAGTGATGCTCATCTTCTGCCTCTTTGCTGCTAGCCCAGCCCCCTTTGCGAAAGGAGGGTCAGGGAAAGAGTCAGCATTTTCGGGAGTCCAGTGAGAACGGAATACTTCTCTGGAGCTTTGTAGACCCACACCTAAGGTGCATTCTGCAGACTCCAGTTTTTAATCTCAAGAAGGCTCAACATACTCCTGGATGAATGAATTATTTAGTATTTGTTTGGAATTTTACAATACCCTGTAAACTATAGAGGGTAGGCCAAAGAGGGCAAATATTACATCAGTGGGTCTCAAAGTGTGATCACAAGAACAGCAGCAGAAGCATCACCAGGGAACTTATTAGCAATACAAATTCTTGGGCCATACCTCAGACCTACAGAATCAGGTATCTGGGAGCTGGGGCAAGGCATTCTTGTTTCACAAGCCCTCTGGGGGATTCTGATGCCCACTGAAGTTCAATAAAGAACTTTCTAAAGCAGAAGTTAAGAGTGTAGGCATATGAAGAGAAGAGGGCCTGTTGTATATGACTCCCTTTTACCCACATCAATACTAGCCTTATGGCATTATGGCCACACCACATAATAGCTGGGAAACATGCTCTTTTTCCCAACTGTGCCACAGTGTCGTCATAAAGCTGTGCACTTCCACTCACTGCATGTTTCACATAAGGCCATAATTTCGCTCATTTCAAACAACTACTTTGGTATGATTTAGCCAAGAGGTCTCACGCACTTGGCAAGAAAGAAAAAAAATCATGTCCTTTTCTTTTTAGACCTGCCCAACAGAAGGAGCTTGAGTCTCCCCAACTCTAAATCATGACTGTTGTTGGAGAGTACAGTGATCAGGCCTAGTATGAAGTTGCTGTTTGCAATTTTTACCTGGGCTCATTCTCAAATTTTGGCGTTGCATTTTGAGATTGCCTATATTTTTTGTGCTTATAAGTTAAAAGCCCCAGCTCCCTACGATATGGCTTTGTTTGTTTGTTTTGGTAACCAAAGCAATCAGTTGTTTTTAATTACAACTACTGCACTCCAAGACTCCCCATGGACAAAGGCCTTCCAGGGTTGTGGACGTGCACATAGAGCCAGGGTGGCCACAGTGACTTCTCTCACTTCTGAGAGATTCCTGGGCTGACCTATCATTTAACAAAAGACTGGCCAAACCTATAGCCACAAGCTGTGCCCACCTCACAGAGCAGCAAAAAGGTGACATACTCCTCACTGCAACCAGGAGACTGCCAAGGGTCATTTGGTGAGTCTGGAAAAAAGTCAGCAGATTGCACCATCGTGCCTTCTCTCCCTGGAACCAAATCAGCCATAAACTCCTTGCTGAGCCCTTAAGGAAGGGTAGGACGGCCATGGCCAGCAGGGAGGAGAGAGGTTAAGCCTTTGGCAGCATTTGACATTCGATAACCTGCATGTCGTGTCTTATTAGTGATTTTATCATCCTGTACCTATAAATTATACAAAATAAGCATTACCTTAAAATATTCCATCAGTGATCTGGAGTACTTCATAGCATGGTCCTTCTTCAGCTTAAACATTCTCAAATAGAGGAGTGATAAACATCGGTAGCTGTGGTGATGAGGAAAGGCTTCTGTTAATGCCAGTGCTTAGTGAAACTTTATAAACTGTTAAGAAGACTGCTGATTCACAATTTGCAGTTACTTTCCTATGGTTAGATTGAGAAACATAAGTAAATAAAGAAATTCTAAAGAGGGAAGGGGCAAGCATTAAAATCCCATTTTGATAAGGGTATAAGTTAGGAGAGTAAATGTTTAGTCAGTGACTGAAGAAATCCATTAGTTATCCTTTAATAGTTTAATGGAAAACAAGAGTAATGATCTGGGGTAAGCAGCTTAAGTTGATCTAGAGTTTTCAAATCCTTCCATGACATTTCAGCAATTTCCTTGTGGCCTCCATGGGACTCACCATAGTACTGCTAGCTTTTTGTCCCCATCCGAAGCCAAGGGACTTGCAAAGTTCTTCAGCCTCATTGCATACCTTTGAAGAGAAAAGAAAAGCTAAAGTGGAATCTGTATTACCCTTCAGAAATGCCTAAAGTCACTGGTATTCTGATTGCCTGAATGAGTTATTCCCACATTTGTTCTGGGCAAGAGGACTGACTGGTACATGTGGGCAAAAGCATGCTTCCCCGAAAACATACACAAAATGAGGATAAAAATGTCATAAGAGGACTCATGTGAAATACAGAGTTGAACTCTGGAGAAAGCAGTGAAATCATGAGCCTTAGGACAATGCTGTGGAATTACCGTGAGTGTGTGTGTGTGTGTGTGTGTGTGTGTGTGTGTGTGTGTGTGTCTAAATGCTGGTAAAATACTGTTTCTAGGAACACTGTAGCTAAATACTATGACTGGTTTTCAATGAGAGGTGGACAAGAATGTCAGTTTCAGTTCAGTTTATGACAGATTAGGTAAATAATATATAACTATGTCTGACATGAGCATAGGGAGACCTCAATCACACAGCTAAAAGGTCTTTTCTAATGGCTCAGGTTTTGAATATATTCCTATTGAAAGTGGTTTGGTTTTTTTTTTTAAAGGAAGGTCGATTTCACAGCATTTTAAGGTCTAAGCACCCTTAATTTATGATGCTTGTATATTTTGTCTTTCTATTCTCCTTAATTGTTACTGTTCTGCACTGGGGTGATAAAAGGTTGAGTAGTTCCCATTTTTTTTTCTTCTAGCCAAGTACATTCCATTCAGAGCATTTAGACTCTTGAAAATCAATTCATTGCATAAAATCATTGTCTGAGCTTTAATGCAATTTCACAGGTACTTGTAGTAGAATAAGTAATGGAGTTCAGTGTGGCAGAAGGAAGTTGAAAGTTCTCATTTATAAGAAGGCGACAGAAAGCCTGCAGGGCCACTGAGCTGGCATGCCTGACTCCTCGCTTTCAGCAACCTTCCCCCGCAGAACACTGGGGAGCCCAGGCTCACCCCCTGAGACTCGGCCTCCTCAGCATTCTAGCCGCCTTGCTCTCCTGGTTATTGCTCTAGTTCTGTTGAGTGAACATTTTCCAGGAAAGGCACTTGTACATTTAACGTGGGTCCCTTCCTTTGTTGCAATATTAAGCAAAGGAATTTTTATTATGTAATAAATCTAGCTTTCTTTGACAGTTGGATCACTGAAATGTCAAGTCATTGTGATGCCCCACTTGTTTTCACAAATACATTTCTATTGCAGATTCCCAGAGCTCAGAGCAACTATAATTACTTGAATGAAGAAAATGGGGCTCTCTCTCTGTAGCCAGCATACTGTCGGGGAGAGAGTAATAAAAATTTCTTCAACATGATATTGCACTACTAAAAACTATGTTCACATTACACTCACCCTCTAATTGCAACCACATTTGAAGTGACTTGATAGTGGAGTTTCAATTGCTTAAGTGGACCAGAAGACCTAGTTGCTTTAACTCATTTTATTCCCAACTGAAATTCCTCTCATTAAAAAAATATTATACACACATGTAATTTACAGAAAGTATAAAAAAAGTAAAACATAGAGAAGACATAAATGGGTACATGCAAAAATGGTGAAGTTGGAAACAAAACAAAACTGGTGAAATCTGAATGAAGTCTTCGGAGTGTTTCAATGTCAATGTTCAGGCTGTGATACTGTAATATAGTTAAGCAAGATGTTCCCATTGGGGGAGACTGGGTGAAGAATACACAGGAACTCTCTGTATTAGTTCTTACAACTGCATGTGCAACTACAATTACCTCAAAATAAAGTTTAAAAACACTGACTTTAAAGTGAATGCTCGTAAATTCTCCATTGACTTTCAGATTTCATTGAAATAAACTTCTATGGGAAGTAAAATAGCATATAATAAAACATAAATCATGTTTTTTTCCCTAAATAACTTTTTCGTGAATAATTAAAAGAAAATTACTTAATGATTCACGTTGCACTTTTACCATAAAATGAAATTTGTATTTTACTTTCATATTTTTTTTTTTTTTTTTTTTTGAGACGGAGTCTCGCTCTGTCGCCCAGGCTGGAGTGCAGTGGCGGGATCTCGGCTCACTGCAAGCTCCGCCTCCCGGGTTCACGCCATTCTCCTGCCTCAGCCTCCCAAGTAGCTGGGACTACAGGCGCCCGCCACTACGCCCGGCTAATTTTTTGTATTTTTAGTAGAGACGGGGTTTCACCGTTTTAGCTGGGATGGTCTCGATCTCCTGACCTCGTGATCCGCCCGCCTCGGCCTCCCAAAGTGCTGGGATTACAGGCGTGAGCCACCGCGCCCGGCCTTACTTTCATATTTTTAAGACAGCATGTGTCTTCTTAAAAGAAAATAAGAAAGAAGAATATGCAGAGAGGGAAATCACCCATAATCTCACTGACTTATTACAGCTATGATTTCATTTCCCTTCCAGTTTGGTTCAGATGCATATACAAACTTTTCATGATCATAATTGTAGTGTGCATGTTATTCTGCAGCTCGATTTTATTTTAACATCATATAATAAATATATTTTGTGCGGCTGCATAGTCTCTGTCATTGTTGTATTTCAATCGCTGCAAAGTATTCTGTTGAGTGTCCTACTATGTAATTACTGTTCTATTATTATTTGGTGTGCTTCCAATTGTGTGCTATTACATATAATGTCAAATTGAACATCATACCGATTACTTGTTCTAGTCTTTACAATTGTTTTCTTCAGGAGAGAAAACTCAGATTTCCACAGTTAAAGTACTGGATCAAAAGATATGAATACTCATTTGTATGGCTTTCCCTACACAATGCCAAATTGCCCTCAATTTACAATAATCAATTTCCATTCCCATCAGCTGCATAGGAGAGGTCTGGTTCACTGCTAGGCCTTTTTTTGCTGTAGTTTTTAGTGCTAGATATTATCATTGTTACGTTTTCTTGTTAATTTAAAAAGTGCCTTGTTTTAATTTGCATTTTTGAATGAATAGAGAGCATGAATTGTCCCTGTGTTTGTTCACTAATGTTTCCCTTCAGTTTTGAATCCTTATGATTTTTGCCAGTATGTTCATCTTGTGTATCTTTGAAAATCACAGGTAGTTTGACTAGACACTGGGCAATCAATTTCTCCTTGAAAGCTACAGAATGGTGGTGGTGCTTTTCACAGTATATAAAATAAGTCAAGGAGAAATACTTGACACTTTTCTCAGTGCCTACATTTCAGAGCAGTGCAAAGAGAAAGATGGCTGATTGGCTCAGCAGGCAAGGCTAGAGCTGCCCTTATAATCACCCTACTTTTGTGGCTCTAACTAAACTTCTGATTCTATGTGAGCAGAGTTGCTTTAAAAAAATAGTTCTTTTTATCTTTTGGAATGTGTCACTGGGAAAATATGCACACTAAATCTGTCCAGTGTTTGTCTGAAGATTTAGGTACAAATATCCTCAGATTTGTAACAGTTAATGCAGGTACAAGCAAGATAGATAGTATAAACCAGTCCTGGCATTATTGATTAATCAAGCCAGATGGGACTGGACATAAGGACTTTTCAGGTAAAAAACTGCTTACTCAATCAATCAAAAGTGATTATTTAGTCCATCTAGTGAACGATGGTGCTTATCCACTATTCAGGGGTGGATTAAATTATTGTACAAATATCTGCAAATCACTGGATAACACCAGAATGGATTATTTCTTCTTCTACCTCTTCTTCCTCTTCTTCTATGAATTTTTTGATAACACAGAATTTCTACACCACCAAGACCAACAGCCAGAAAATTTCATTTAAAATGTAAATGAAACCAATAATGTGTGCAGTTAATATCCCCTCTCTTATTCTCATCCTCTCATCTGTACCGCCAGCCCCTACTACCACCTCATCTATTTCCCTAATTCCAGATGCATGGAAAGTCTACTCCACACCTGCAGCCTTAAACACCAACTCTGAGTTGGAACAGTGCCCCTCCCTTTTTAATAACCAAGATAAAAATTCTTAGAAAACATGGTTTGTAATAGAAATCCTGAGAGCACCATTTTTTTGAATTATAAAACTGCACCTTTGAAAAGACAAGTCAATGCTAAACGGTAAAATGATTATACTTATTTCTACCCACTACATTTCCATTTTAATGTTACGAATATTGAAAATTATAACACTCACATTATAACTTCTGGAGGGGATAATTTATAAAGTCAGCATCCATCAATTATAAATTTTCCATGATATTAATAAAATGGCAAGAACTAATTATGATGACTTCTAAGAGGATGGCTTGGACAAATTATTAATAAGTGGAAATGATACATTTTTTAAAACATAGCTTCTAATTCTAGCTGAAATGAGTGTAGGAAGATGATTGCAGAAAGGCTATTCACCTGAGGAGCTCCACAGTCTCAGAGTACATGGTGTATGGGGACTTTGCTTCCAGAGGGTCGCGTTCCATGGCATTGCCACATTCAGTGAAGGAGAGGGCGGCATCAGCATAATTCACAGCTTTGCCAAATTTCTCGAACTGAAACAGGAAGATGACTCGTCAAGATAATACTCTCTGTTTTCTCCTTCATATAAAAGAGTGGTTTGAAACTGGGGGGTAGTTTTGCCCCCTTCCCACAGGGAACATTTGGCAATGTCTGGAGACACTTTCAGTTGTCACCCCTGGGGAGAGGGGGCATCTGGTGAACAGAGGCCAGAAATGCTTATAAACTTCTGCAGTGCCCAAAATAGCTCCCACAATAGAGAATGAGCTGGCCCAAAATGTCAGCAGTGCCCAGGCTAAGAAACCCTGATACAGAAGACAATGTATGAATTGGTCTTAACAAACAGCATGGTACTGGTACCAAAACAGAGATATAGATCAATGGAACAGAACAGAGCCCTCAGAAATAATGCCGCATATCTACAACTATCTGATCTTTGACAAACCTGACAAAAACAAGCAATGGGGAAAGGATTCCCTATTTAACAAATGGTGCTGGGAAAACTGGCTAGCCATATGTAGAAAGCTGAAACTGGATCCCTTCCTTACACCTTATACAAAAATCAATTCAAGATGGATTAAAGATTTAAACGTTAGACCTAAAACCATAAAAACCCTAGAAGAAAACCTAGGCATTACCATTCAGGACATAGGCGTGGGCAAGGACTTCATGTCCAAAACACCAAAAGCAATGGCAACAAAAGACAAAATTGACAAATGGGATCTAATTAAACTAAAGAGCTTCTGCACAGCAAAAGAAACTACCATCAGAGTGAACAGGCAACCTACAACATGGGAGAAAATTTTCGCAACCTACTCATCTGACAAAGGGCTAATATCCAGAATCTACAATGAACTCAAACAAATTTACAAGAAAAAAACAAACAACCCCATCAAAAAGTGGGCGAAGGACATGAACAGACACTTCTCAAAAGAAGACATTTATGCAGCCAAAAAACACATGAAGAAATGCTCATCATCACTGGCCATCAGAGAAATGCAAATCAAAACCACTATGAGATATCATCTCACACCAGTTAGAATGGCAATCATTAAAAAGTCAGGAAACAACAGGTGCTGGAGAGGATGTGGAGAAATAGGAACACTTTTACACTGTTGGTGGGACTGTAAACTAGTTCAACCATTGTGGAAGTCAGTGTGGCGATTCCTCAGGGATCTAGAACTAGAAATACCATTTGACCCAGCCATCCCATTACTGGGTATATACCCAAAGGACTATAAATCATGCTGCTATAAAGACACATGCACACGTATGTTTATTGCGGCACTATTCACAATAGCAAAGACTTGGAACCAACCCAAATGTCCAACAATGATAGACTGGATTAAGAAAATGTGGCACATATACACCATGGAATACTATGCAGCCATAAAAAATGATGAGTTCATGTCCTTTGTAGGGACATGGATGAAATTGGAAACCATCATTCTCAGTAAACTATCGCAAGAACAAAAAACCAAACACCGCATATTCTCACTCATAGGTGGGAATTGAACAATGAGATCACATGGACACAGGAAGGGGAATATCACACTCTGGGGACTGTGGTGGGGTCGGGGGAGGGGGGAGGGATAGCATTGGGAGATATACCTAATGCTAGATGACACGTTAGTGGGTGCAGCGCACCAGCATGGCACATGTATACATATGTAACTAACCTGCACAATGTGCACATGTACCCTAAAACTTAGAGTATAATAAAAAAAAAAAACATTAAAAAAAAAAAAAAAAAAAAAAGAAATAGAAAAAAAAATATTTTCTAGGATTGAAAAAGCCTGTCTAATTAAAATAACACAACAACATTACTTAATCTGCAATTCTTCTTGACATGCCTTGGGACCCTGCCTTCAATTTTCTTTCATTAATATAGGCAGGGAGAAATGAGAGGCGGGAAGGTGATGGAGGCACTTTACAGTTCCTTTCTACCTAAGGGTCTGTCCCCTCCAGAGGCAAGAAACAACAAAGCATGTCTCAGTTTCCACCAAATTAATAAGCAAGATAGGGGAGAAATTGTCTGATAAATCTGGATGACATAGAGGACCAGTCAATTTCTCAAATCCCAGAGAAGACCATTGACCTGAAAGATATTGATTGGCCTTTCTGATACCTAGTCTCATGAAAAAAAAGTTTAATTTCCTATTTTCCTTTGGGCATAAAGCCCGTATCGCCTCACTTAGACAAAAGGACAGTGACATGTCTGCAACTGTTTTTTCAAACTTATTAGCAACACTTAGCCAACTATATGCCACCTATCTGCCTATGTATACTTTTCAATGCCCAACTATTCTTAATATATATTCCAGTTAACCACCTATAAATAAACTTGATTGGCTATTTTCAAAAAAAAAAAAAAAAAAACAATGAAGTTACCGGCTTAAGGTTCTATCATCATGACACCAAGGCTAGTTGAGAAGAGAAAAATGCAGGCAGGGTATCATATGTGGTTTGTGGCATTGTTGTTGCTGTTATTGCTATCTTTTTGGTGGACCTGAATCCAAATCATTGCCTCAACTAGTTTCTATTCATGAAATTTACTAAACTATCTGCTCATTGTAGTGTCCTATAGACAGTACTTGCAACTAAGGGCTGCTTTTTAGAAGTCTCATGGACAATGAACACATACATTTTTGCTTTAGAACTCTTTGTGAGGACATCAATTTCACTCTCAGGAGAAGATTAACAAATTGATGCTATTGTCATGAAAGATGAGAAGCTGTAGTATGACTGTTGACAATAATCCCATCACTTTCATTATAAATGATAGTTTGAAATAGTGTGTCAAAAAGCCAAAAAATATAGTACTACTAAATATTTTAGTTTGGTAAAATTTTATTGCAAAGGTTTTAGCCCTGATAATGGTCATGATTAAACTGACTTAGACATACTGATTTCTTTTTTATGTGTAATGAATATTATACATGACACTTTTATAGTGAGTATTTTATAACAGGATTTAACATTTTCAATTTTTGATAGCAGGATGTAAGAATTCCACTAATATGGTATTTTATGTAAAAGAAGGAATATAATGCAGATTTAGCTGTTTTAATTTTCTTGTATACCTTTTATCAAAATATTTTCTATGCAACTGTGAAAGTTTCAATTCTCAAAATGGCAGAGTAGCTGTCTCTAGCAAAGGATTAAGTACAACTATAAAATGATTAGCTAGAGGTCCTGCAGAATCTTTTATTGTAAATGACTTTTTACAATAAATGTTCTCCAGCTTTTATGAGCTGCAGGAATTCTGTGGTTTTCTTTCTGTAAGCTACTGTGGAGAAATATCGGTTTCAATCAAATTCAAGCGGATTTTGTGAAAACCTGTGTACATATATGCAAACTAGGTACTTTCTCTTTTGCCTTACAGGACAATTTCCTTAGGTCATCTGGCTCCACTGGCTCTCCCATTTGGAAATTGTTCTTAGATCCTGATTTCTGAAAGTGACTTTTCATTCACAACCCAATAGCTGGAGAGATCTGTAGAGATCACCTAGCCTAAACCCCTTCGTCCCTAGGAGTAGCTGATGTCCAGACAGAAAATTACATGACTATAGTGCCAATTAATAGCCAAGTTATGCCCCCCACCCCTGGGACTGTTTCCCCATCCATAAAATGAGTGGCTTAAACTATAAGGGTGCTTCCCAGGCTAATATATGCATAAGCCTAGCAAAAATATCATTCCTCTAAGTGTTCCTCAACCTTGTTTTTCCATATCACCCCCCCACCACCACCAAGGAATTTTTAAGATACAGTCAGCCCTCTGTATCCGTGGGTTCTGCATCCATGGATTTAACCAATCTTAAATCAAAAATATTCAGAAAAAAATGAATGGTTCCATTCGCACTGAACATATACAGACTTTTTCTTGTCATCATTCCCTAAACAATTCAGTATAACAACTCTTAACATACCATTGCATTGTATTAGATATTATAAGTGATCTAGAGATGATTTAATGTATATTAGAGGATGTGAACAGGTTATATGCAAATGGCCATTTTATATCAGAGACTTGAGCATCTGAGGATTTTGGTGTCCGAGGGGGTCCTGGAACCAATCTTCTATGGATACGGAGGGATCACTGTATTTTTTCACGTACCCCCAATGAAATTTTAATACAAGAAATATACTTATTCTCTCTTTATGCCCTGTGGCCCTTTGGAGGGTCACACCCCATTGCAATAACTAAGATCTTTTCACCCCATCTCCAAAACCAATTTTTACCCCCATAGGGGCAGCATCTCCCCAATTGGGAATGCATATTCTAAATGGATTAGGCCAAATGTGATCCCTTGAAAGACATACATATAAACACAACCTTGGAATGTAGAGTGATGTTAGTTCATAATCATATGTATATATGTCTGTGGTACCGATTTTTCTCAGTTCTTCAAACATTTCATTTACATGGTCTCCTATGTATATCCCAGTCTTCATCAGCTCATGTAACAGCTTGTCAATGGAACATGTGTATGCTCCCTAACCCCTGCTTTGACAGATGGCAAACCCTAGGAGCACTTGAGTGCTCTGTAGTGTCACAGAATTGAGGACATTTAGAGAAAACCTTTGGTCTTTGAGGGAGCAGCATTACCATCCAGTGCCTTTCAAATCTCTCATCACCTATACAATGGTCACAGGCACTGTTGTCCTGGCATCTCCAATGGAGCTAGCACCCAGCCTGCCTTGTCATTTTTGTCTGCAGGAGCAGGGGAAAATTGCTTCTAAGGAACAATTTACACCACAGAAAGGTCACCTGCAGACACGAAGCAATTTGTACCACAGTGGGGAAATGACAGAAAGTAGGGAAAAGGCAGATGTAAGGACCATGGACAGTTGATGTTGGCTACACACTAGTCATGGTATTTCATCACAGCATTCCCAGTATCAAACACCACTGGGACAACTAAGTCCTAGCAGGACACAATGCAATGTTTGAGGATGCTATTTTTTAACCCAATGGGGTTTAGTCAAAGTGAGAAGCCTGAATTTAGGGCCTTCCCTAGGACAGTCGTTCTCAAATATCTGCAATTGGGAATCTCCTGGGGAGCTTTAATACTCATTCCTGGGTCCCAGTCCCAGAAATTCTTATTTCATTGGTCTGGGATATGGGCTAGGCATCAGAGTTATTCTAAAGCTTTCAATGTGATGTGTGGTTGAGACCCACTGTTAGGAGCCTCAGCCAAATCAAACAACTCAAAATGTTGAGCTTATGACTGATCTAGGTGGCTAAAACCCTTGGAGGCAGCTGGGCAAAGTATCTTGAGAAATCCAGATGACAGCATTTCTCTTCTCTGCTTGGGGCCCCAGCCTAACTGTGGGGCTCACTCTGAAAACATGTCATCAAATGCAGCAAGGAGCTGAGTTTTTCCTCAGGCCTAGTTTTCCCAAAGCCAATTTTTGAGGCCATTTAGACAGCTCTAAACAACTCTCACATTCCCACACGAGTTCTGGCTTACTGGACCAAAAAAGCACATCATTTCCAGGGAAGTTTCATAAGTCATTCCAAAATCACTTGAAAGGTAATGACAGTGGTATATGCCATTGAGCTTCTGAAGTTGGGGTAAGGGGAAGAACAGTGGGAAAACAAATGACATGATAACCAAGCCCTGAGAACTTTGGGAATTACAGAACTAAGTAATTCACTAGTTCAAATCTCCCTATGTCAGGGCAGCAATGTGTTGACAGGCAGGTGTGGGCTGTGATACTGAAAATTTGTTTGGAAAAGTGCTTTCTTTGTTTTCCTTTGAAACATAAATCCTTAATAGGAACAAAGCAATGAGAAAAAGGAAACTTACCAGTGCATCAGCTTTGTGCTTCAGCTTCTTAGCTTCTTGCATGTAATAATCAGCATTGTGAACCCTAAATAAACAAAACAAGCTCTTTCAGAAACCAATGCTTCATCTTTTCAGTAAAAGACTGAATCATCAAACCTTTTCTGCTATAAATTTATTCCCATATAATGCCTTGAAAAAGGCAGACTAATGCTGTCATTCATATCATAACCAACCTTGAAATAATACTGTAAATGAAATCTGAAGTACATAATGGCCCATTAGGATAAATAACCACATGCTCCAACCCCAACCATTACAGTTGTCCAAATAGATCAAACAAAACCTAGCTATACATCTGTGTGTTGGTTATATGTGAGGACATGGATAGGAAAGGACAGAACAACCTGCCTTTGGAACAGTAACAATGCTGCTTAATTAAAATGGGCCAAAAACATTTCTTGGTGGGGACAGAGTGGTGAGTGTGTATGCAGGGGGTGGGGTGGACTTTTAAGGGTATAGGATTTGATGCTGAGGTCTTATTTGGGGTGACACATGCACAGCACTAGAAAAGCCATGCTACCCCCACCCCCCATTCACTACTCCAAACTGTCCATGATAATCTGGAACAACATACGAGTCATCAAAAGTGAGCTTGGGTCTCCGGACATTAGTGCTGCTGCTGGATAGAAGGGGCAGAGCCGCCCAGGACGTCATCTCCAGGTGACTGCTATCCATGAGGCCAGTAGTGATGGTAGAGGTGATGGTGGAAATGGTAGTGGTAGTAGTTGTGGTGGTGGCCGTGGCGGTGGCAGTAGCTGTGACAGTGGTGGTGACAATGGCAGTAGCAGTGACAGTAGCAGTGGCAATAGCAGTATTGGTGACAGTGATGGTGGCAGAGGATGCCTTTTTTGGAGTGTCTCCCTCCTGGGAAAAAGGAGGACAAATAGTTTCCATTAGGTCCAGCTTTTTAAAACACCTTGTCATAAATGCTTTGAATGTCAAGCACGTTACGAAAGAAGGCAAAAAAAAAAAAAAAGAAAGAAAACAATGCACACAGCTTGAGGATAAATAGGTGACCCTGGATATTTTATGAACGCCATGAATCACCAGCTTTTGTTCTATTATGACACCAAACATCAAGCTAATTGGGTGCTGCCATTACATAGCTCCACCATCCCATTAAGACAGCCACAGCAAAGGTCTAAATCTAGTGATAAATGTGAGGGGAAAGGGAAGGAAGAATATAGAGAGGAGAGAGGAGGAGGGAGGGAGAAAGGAAGAGATGCATGGACAAAGAGAGGGAGAGATAGAGATATTAAATAAATCCCTTGACCCCGCTGTGGGTATTTTTGATAAGGGAACCAACCCAGAAGCTTTCTCTAGGGTAAGTAACGTCCTCAGGTCACTCTGCAAAATACCAGATACAGTCCAGCAAAATACTAGGAAATTGTACTCTAATCATCCCTGCCCTGGCTGAAGTGAGGTTGAAGCCGCCCTTTTGTTCATGTGAGGCGCTTGATTGGTTTCTAGCTAAGTGAAATGTGAGTGTGTCTCCATTTTGTTTTGCAATCTTAGGATGGTGAAGCCTCATTTCTACCAGGTCCAAAATCAAATGGGTAAGATACTTACAAGGGCTTTGCTTTGAACTGTCATTGCTATAGAGAGGATGGAGAAAGGAGGTGGTAAGATCTGTAATTATGTGACAGTGTGGCATCACAAGACTACCTGCCATGTTCAAGTGGCTGACTCTGCCCTCCCGCCCCCAGCAACTGTGGGACTCTCCTGACTGTTCTCTGTCTGACCATACTTCCCATGGTGCCTCCTCTTCCTTCTGCTCTTCTGAATTGGTATCTCTCTAACATTGGTGTTCCCCAAAGTTCACTCCGCAGTTCTCTTCTTTCTTGATATGATCTGTCAATCTTGTGTGTTGTTGGCACAGATTCAACAGTAGGTAGGTAACACCCAAATGGAAACCTCAATCTTACCCAATCTCCAAAGCTCCAGCCTACAGTGACCATCTTAGGACAATTCTACCAACATGGCCATTAGCGCCTCAAATTTTTGGCAAACCAAATCACTAATCAAACCAGTTTCGTCTTTCTGTTAATGGCAGGATGGTCTTCCCTGTCATCAAAGCTGAATTTCTCCGTGTCAATAAAGAGTTTCCAAACTGACTTTGGCACAGTTACACAGGGAACTGCAGTAGTATCTGGGCTAGTGGCACTGAAACTGGCAAGGTAGAGACTCCCCACCTTTCCTTCCATCTGAGCTGCTCTGCTTTAATCAGCTTTATATATTGAAGTTCTGTAAATTACTTCATTTTGAAAAATGATAATGCTCCTAGAACTCTTCTTGAAAACAATTCCTCTATTTCATCTTTAATTTTTCTCCCTCAACATTACCAGTTAATTGCAGTTAATTACTCCTATTAATTGTATCTCCCCAACATCTCTCGAATTTGTCCCTTTCTCCCTCAAAGCCTCAAAATGCAGGCCCTCATGGCTTCTCACTGAGACTAACAAAGAGTCTCCTGGCTGGACTCCCAGCCCTTGAGCTAGCTTCTCCCTCCACCCTCAATCTGCTGTCTGCTAGCTTGAGCTTCCTGAACAAAGTTCCTAGCATCTCCCTGCTCTGCACTCAAATGCAAACTCAAGGCTGAAGCTCCTTTGCTGGCACTCAAGGCCCTACCTGATTTGGCTGCAGCTTTCTGCCCAATCTCTGACTGTTCCCTTCCATGAACCTTAGTTTCAACTGAACTGAACATGTCCCCGCTTTTTTCACTTTCCTGATTTGATGATACATGTGAAGTTTTAGATTTCAAAAAGCCTTCCATTCATTTGTTTCTTTTTTTACCACCTGGTGATAATTTATTCAACTTATTATTTTTATTGCATTTTGAAATTTTCATAATTGTGGTAAAACACACATATAATAAAATGTACCATCTTAACCATTCTTAAGTGTACAGTTCAGTCATGTTAAGTACATTCACATTGTTGTGAATCCCCAGAACTCTTTTCATCTTGCAAAACGGAAACTCTGTACCCATTAAACAGTGTCTCCCCATTTACCCTTTGCCTTAGGCGCTTGCAACCCCCATTCTACTGTCTGTCTCTATGAATTTAACTACTCCAGGGACCTCATGTCAACGGAATCACATGGTTTTGGCCTTTGGTGTCTGGCTTATTTCACTTAGCATAATGTCTTAAAGGTTCATCCATGTTGCATAATATGACAGGATTTCCTTCCTTTTCCATTGTGTGGATAGACCACATTTTCTTCATCCACTTCCCTTCATTTTTAAACCCTACTCATCTATTAAGGATCAACTCAGGAAACGCCTCCTCCACCAGGAAAACTACCTTATGCCTACAGCCAGAAGTACTTTAATCCTCCTTGGACCATTCAGAGACCTGTCTCTATCCCTGCCCTAAGACACCAATCACCAGCTATTTTATATTCTAGTCCTTTGAGCATATGTCTCATTGCTCACTTTAGACTGAGAGTTCTTTGAGCACTGGAGCCATCTCTGATTTACGATACTGTCCCTCCACCCCACAGCCCAGTGCCCTCAGTGTTTGCTGAGTGCATGCATGCACATATGCACAGACACTTGCCATAGTCAACAGGGTCACTTTAAAGATAAAAGCCAAATGTGAAATGTATTTCTTATATTTCTGTGGATCTTTTACACTTCATCCTGGACCTTCTGAATACAAAATAATTATTACCACCTAGATCTCACTGATATAAATGTGCTGAGAACCTACGCATCATCTACAAATTGTTATGATGGATACGAAGAAAATAAAGATTTTTTTTCAACCCAAACATTTTAAAGGAAACAGAGCCGTAAAAAACTTGTAAGCCAGCTTCGTGTCTCCACTGCCACAGCCCGATTGGCCTAGACCAAACAGTTAGGCCAGCCCAAGACAGTGTCATTTGTCTCTATGGCCAAGATATGTGGCAAGAACCCTGAAACATTACATCCACCACCCACGGCATTTATGTCAGTCCTGGCACATCTGACTGGAAATGGCTGAATTCAGCCATGATCATGTAAGTTACATAAAAATGTCATCTCTCCACACTCACTCACCTGTTGAGTCAATAAACAGGACTTCATGCCTAAATGGAATAGAGAAGACTCTGCGAGCACAAAATTGCAAACGTTTTTGGAGCTAGAAGAAGCTTTATAGATCATCTAGTCAAATCCCCTCATTTTATTATCTCAGAGATGTTTCATGATTGGCCCAGAGTTATCGAGCAAATTTGTTGCAGTGCTAGCACTATACAAGAGTTAAGTGTCTTAATCACAGGCTAAGGCAAAAATTATGCCACAAAGTCTCCTAGATTTCAAATCATTAATAGAAAGAATGGCCCAAGAAGAGGCACTGGTTGCTCACTGCTATCAGAGAAGCCTAGTGATTTCCCTAAGAAGGATGATATATTTCTAGGAGCAAATATTAATATATTTATCATGTTTCCCCAGTAGATTTTAGCCCTTGTGGAAATGACTTTGCAGATTCTTTTAAGCATTATCATTGTCATAATAACATCTGTATCATTTATAATCCCTAATGATTTGTGACAATATACTAGGCACTATACAAAAAGAAATAATGGAAAGTTTGTGTATTTGTATACACAGGCCTCTCATATTTCTTCTCTGCATCTTCCTCCCTTCCTCCTGCAACATCCCCAAATGATCAAGTTAGATGAGCTGGTTAACTTGTTTCTACCTGACAATAATAATATTTCTTCCAAGATGCTTACATTTACCGATATCCCTTTGAAAGTAGCACAGAATTTGCCTTCAGTTCTCTTAGGTTTGGTAGATGTGATTTGTCCAGTCATGGCGATGTTTTTGTCTTGACCAAAGGGACCATTATTGCCACTGACATTTCTGCGGCGTGGAGGGTCCTCTGGCAGTGGGGAAAGTGGAGGAGGAAATAGTTTTTCTTCCTTTCTTCTATTTGCTCTCCTGGATGAATTATTTCTGTGAAAAACAAGAAGTGTAGGGTGTCATAAAGTCTTCTCTCTCTTTATTCTGATTTTCCCCATGATGCTAGTACTGTAAGCTGAAGTCATATTTTAATTGCTGTCCCTCTACCTATGGTGAAGAGCATATCTAAAAATGCATATAGACATAGATATAGATATCTTTATAGATATAGATATCTCTCTATATAAATATAGATATATGCATACATATGTATCCAAGAATAAACTCATGTCTTTGCAGCAGAACTCCATGACAAATGTAAATGCCTAATGGAGTGTGCTACAGTAGGATATTTTCAACTTTTCAAGATTGCTGTTAATTAGATTTTTATGGAAAATACAATGAGGACTTTAATCCCATCATTTTTCAGGATGGTTCCTACTTATTTTGCCCTAGGACTTAACTGCACAATCATGCAATAAATGGCACAATAAAGAATCAGTGGAAGAATACTTTCTTAAGAAATATTATGCTTACGCATTACTTAGAAATAAATAATGCACTAAATAGTATTGCGACATACATTGCAAATTGTATATACAGAATGTTCTACTCCAACGCCAAGCATAATGAGCCTCTGACCTTAAATTGTTATACTGAAGTACTGATGTACTCCACTTTACAAAACTCCATTTAAAAATGTTATTTTGTCATATTCACACTAGACATCTGCAATTTTAAAAGTACTCCCGTGCTTTCAAACTGATTTATCTGCCCATTAAATGGGCACCACCAAATAGTCTGAGACTTCAAATGAAACAGAACAACTGAAACCTTATGCTAGCTGCTTAACATGGTAATTGGGTCATGGATTTTCATTTTAGTTACTGTCTTAGACTAATCAAGGAAGATTACTTGAATTTTAATCTTTGCTTAGACAACTAATATTGCACTGTGCAGCTATTTACTTTTCATGATTATTGACTACAATTTTCAATGGCAAATTAAGTCAACAAGAATTTATGTTTTCCTCTTGGTCAATTTCAGTCAGTGTCTAGAAATATAGATTTACAATATCTCAAAGCAACAAATCAAAGATGAACAAGCATTCAAGTGGTCTGATTCCCTGAAATAGAAGTCAATGCAGACTCCTTGGCCCACTTCCACTGTGTTGCACAAAATTGCCAATTGTAATATGTGTCATCTTCTCCATCTTTTGTTTCATAAATGTGGCCCTATGTTACTTTTTGTTGTGTAGCGAAACTGAAAAAACGCAACTGTTTCTGTCATTACCTCAATTGATTAAAATTAATTAAAAATACTTTCCAATGGATTTGAAAAATTGCTTTGACATGTATAACCATTTTAAAATAGTAGTGATGCCTGATTAAAATGATGGTGAACATATGGATTAAGATTCTTGTCCATGAGGAAGCTCCACAACAAGCAGATCACATTAAGTGTAATAATTACAAAGGCACCAGGCCTTTGGGAATTTATACGTGTGGATGTCAAGCATTGCTGTGGCATCTACAGGAGGTGAATGGTGGTTCATTAGCTGTAAATACTCCCCCACTACTTGAGCTGCCTGAGGAGAAACTGGGGGCTTCAAGGGAAAGAGCTGCTTCTGAGAGGCAGTTAATTTGCCATTGGCAACTACAGTCATGCAATGCCTGCCTGTCTGCCACTAAAGCAACCAGCGGGGATTCAGTGCATTCTGTACAGTGAGCACCCGTGACCTGGCCCCCTTTACATCTGCCTGGTCATGATCTGGAACCACGGGGTCTTTAAGGACTTTCTTGGTGAAAGACACCTAGGGAGCATTTTCTAGAGACCACTCAGTCATTGTTATGACTTACAACTAGAAAAGCAGCTTTTGCGTCTTTGGGTACCTCTTCCAATAGGCCAGAGTAGAACAGGAGACAAAAGAAGAGCATCACCACCTGCACTCAATTCCTCAGAGGGCCTGCTGAAGGTACCAGCTCTAAAGAAGAAGGGGAGGTCCAGGAGAGTCCTTCTGTTGAACTATGGGGAACTATAGCTGTCATAGTCTGGTGTGGAATCTTTGTTAGGTTTAGAATAGTCATTTAGAAAAGTGAATGTTGTCTCCCATTTTGTTTGAAAGGTTAATAAGGCACAAAGGTGCAAAGCTTGAGGAGGGGATTCCCAGGAGGAGACCCCTAAGAGGTCAGTCATTGCTTCATTCTTCTTCAACTCCAGAAAGTTTTCCAGAGAAAACTCATCTGTTTGATGGGCGTAAGAAACTAATTGAGGCTCTTTCTGAACGATAAAGGCTACAAGGGAAACACTGCTTTCCCACCTACTAGAAAAGCAGAGACATTGTAAAGATAGTGGATTAAAGACACCATTTGGTGTAAGGAACATGGCTGTGCTGCAGCCAAGCAGGCATAGGGCAGCAGGCATAGGCTGAGGTAAACAGCCTAGATGACTCAGTGGATTGGGGCACAAGTGCACAGTCCCATGTCTTATATAATCATAGCCATGAAGACGTAACACAGAGAAGCTCACCACCTGGCTCTCAGCCACTATTGTTTGTGTAATGTATAAATGTAACACTCACCCAGTGAAGGAGCTGCTAAATAAAGCTATGTGTCATTTACCTGCTGTCTCTTGAGTGTTCTCCAAGCTCCCTGCTCCACATCCACACACTCCCCTCAGACCTCAGCTGGGGGTGGACCCCAACCCTGAGTGTGACATTTGGTAAGAACCAACTCAAATGACTAGGCCTTTATGTAATACTTGGTCATCTCTCTTTTATAAGATGGGGAAGGCGACAGGCCACTGGGTCACCTAGAGAGTGTAGCAGTGGGGACCAAAGGCTGTGGCAAGGCTGGATGGCCCAAACTGGTCCAAGCCTGGAAACTGAGGGAACAATGCCACCACAGCTATGCCATTTTAGTCCTTCCTCCTTGCAAACAACGAAGGAGGGCTCTGGAATGACCACGTCTTACCATCAGGGGAGCATGCTTCCTCACATGCCTGGTCTACCCTGAGGTGAAGGGGTCAGCTTGCTCCACTGGAAGGGTCTCTAGTTCTGAGAACTTCAAGTATGTATGTGAAGGGATGTTTCAGAGCAAACTTATATCAGAGAATACTGATGAACCTCACCAATAACTACTGATCCTGGGGGCAGGGGGCAGCCCAGGACCCAAATCTCCTTATTAGTTAAACCAGATCTAGTGGTAATTGATCTTTTCTTTCCTTTCATCTCAAAACAACAAAGATCCAGACAAATGTAAGCTGATAACTTATTTCCGACATCTTATCTGTAGCAGATTGATGCCATATCCCTGATGTTAAACTGTAATCTGTGAAATCAATTGTTAGCTGCAGTTAGCCAGATTGCCTCTCTGCTCTGGGCTGCTAATAGGCTCCAAAACTGGCTTTGATGGAAGTAATCTCTAATGTTGAATGAATTTATGGCAATAATTACTCAGACAGAATGGTTCAAGTTGCTGACATGATTGTTAGTTAAGTGATATTTATAAGACAGAAATAACTTGGTCACAATGCTTGGCAGAAACAGAAGGCAGGACTTCTCTGAAGAAGACTCAAGCTGTTTGAGTGAGGAGGTGCCAGGAGGCCTCCTGCTGGACTCTGGAACCTTCCACACACAGAGAGAAGGAAGAACAGGTGCCAGCTCCTTGGAATGACATGTTTGAGGAGGCCAGAGAGATGAGCTGTCTGGGAGTGGCCCTCCTCCTGGGACAGTTCTGTGTCAGGAAAAGACAGCTTTTTTTTTTTTTTTTTTTCATTCCCTTGGCTTCTGTGGAGTTCCGGACATAGCTACTGGTCCTCAAGATTCATATGAATGTTAAGTAATGACATCAAAGAGGAAGCAGCTGCCTCGTTCTGTCAAGATCAAGGAGTTGCTTTTCCAGGGAAACTGAGTAATCACCATCAGAACTGAATGTTGGGTAGAAGCAGGTGATCTGGTTAAAGTGATAGGGGTTCTCTTGATGCTTCTTGTTAATTTATTTACTTCCTTTTACCCTTCACTGAGTGCTAAAAGTTCGTTTTGACTAATTTTAGTGATAAATCTGAATTAGAGTAAAGAAATGTTGCTAAAAGCTCATGGAGTCACCCCAATTCTGGCAGCATATGTTCTACCCCTTATCACACCCTTGTTAGACCAGTGGCCAGGGACAGCTGTCAGGCCTTGACTGAGAGACTCCTGTTTTTTACCTTAAAGTCTTCTGGGGCAAGATCCCCCAAACAGGTTCAATTAGGATTTCTTAGGAGTCTGAACAATCATACCAAGCCATCAGACAGGGCCAGGGCAAACTCACTCTCTAGTGTTGGGAGGCTTGTGGGGTGGGGCTGGTGAGATGCAAGGAGGGAGCAAGCAGATAGTTGTGGCCTCCTCCAGGCGCTGCTTCTTCTCAGGGATCTTCTCTGCAACTTCTATTGGCTTTAACAGGGAAAAAAATACACAGAGCTTGAAATGCATGGCACCATTCAGACATCCATATTTTATACACTAAAAATGAGCAAGATACATAGTTTGCTTTTATTTTAACTTCTAGATTAGGTAGGTGAGTTAAATGTGCACCTTTGATCAGACAGAAAAGCAATCAACCTTGCCTAGCCGAGTCCTACAAAGAAGTTGGCATTTGAGAGAGTACAACTGTGTGATCTGAACCTCTGTGTAAAGACTGGGTGGCATGGGAATCTCACAACAAAAGTAAAGAGAATCTATTAATACAATTTTTGGACACTTCTCCCATCAACAATGCCCCCACAAATGAGTAGTTTAGAAACTAACATTGTAACTTGAATGTGACATAAATCCTGTCCAAGCAGCATGGGGATCATGGCTGACATATAAAGGTTGCTTACACAATGAGCATCACGTAAGGAAATGAACCACGTTCAAAGCACACCTTTGGACTTTTGCATGTGCTGTTTTGAAGGTACACTGTCAGCTGTGGTTGTACTGTTGTCATCACTAAATGTGGAGAATCAGTGGTAGGGCAAAGGTCTTTGACTTCTTGGTCCCTATTTTGGAATATAGGCTGAGTAGCCATTATCCAGAATAGTTGGGACCAGAAATGTTTCAGACTTTGAATATTTTTGAATTTTGGAATATTTGCATTAAACTTACCAGTTGAGCATCTCGAATTCAAAAATCCAAAATCTGAAAATGCTCCAGTGAACACTTATTTCTCCTGAGTGTCATGTCAGTGCTCAAAAAGTTTCAGATTTGGAGCATTTTGGATTTTGGATTTTTAGATTTGGGATGCTCAAACTGTACTCTCATTAGGTATGCAACTCCGAGAGAATATCCTCTGTTTTGGAACTTGTAAAGTCAAGCTGAATGATGACTGCCATCATTTTTGCATCATCCTAGTCAGTCGGATGGCCTGGCCACAGTGGGGGCTGCGGTTCAATGAGGAATCTTAAGTCTTTCCTGGAAAGGGACAGAATAAATGAAGAAAGGACTTGGAACCTCCTTTCTAGCCACTGTGGCAGCCTTAGAAATAAGATTACCTGAATATCATCATGAGATAACATCACTCTAAAAAAAGTACCCTGAGATGTGGAGATACGACAGAATGAGCATACTGGATACCAAACCATTTCTCTAGACATAGTTCAAATGAAAAGGGCCACTCTGGATTTCACCTTATGAGTATACTTTATAGCCTTGGAATTCAGCTCTAGCCTTCTGCAGGTAAAATTTTCCCAAGTCAAGCCTACCACATAGATCAGTGATCCCAGCAGGCTGGGAAGAACATGTGGTTGGTAGGACCCAGGAGACTTAGAGTATAACTGGACTGTGGAGATGCTAATGTTTGTCCAGAGAAATTAAAAAGCCCTAGAAGATGCATTTGGACATTGAGGGCACTTGCGTGCCTTGCCTAAGTAAGGAGACTTTCTTCATATTTTTCTTTCCTACACATCATAAGCCCTCATATGCCATAATGGACACTCTTGCCACTGGCTACAGATCATTTCTAGTTTTTCCTCTCTGGTCATGTCAAATACTGCATTTCCCACAGAAAGCATCATCACCTTTGCCAAAATCTGCAATGCACTGCCATTGGCTTCCTTGAAGATGAGGCTCAAGATCAAGTTAGACAACAAACAGACACTGCTCACAAGCACTTGGCAGGCCACTTTAGACAGCTTACCTTGTGCTTACGTTTGCCCTTAGGGGCTGGTTTCTCCACAGCTGTGACAGCTGTCTGACGCTTGGGTTTTGTGGCAGTCTCCTTGTGGTCTGGCTTGGCAGGTGCTGCATGGAGTGAGCTGTGGCCAGGTACTCTAGAGAGTAAGTCAAGGTCAATCTTCACCCAGAGGTTTTTCAGGTTCTCATGATCTCGCAGAGGGGACAGGATTTCAGTTTGCATGACAGGAATAGGTGAAAATGTTGGCTCTTCATTACTGATGGATAAGTTGTTGTTGCTGCCACTGCTACTCATTAAGGTGCTGAGGGTCAGGCTGGCACCACAGATTTCCTTGGATTTGGCAGTATTACCTCCAGAAATAATGCACGGAGGCAGGACTTTGATTTGCAGGGTCTCTTCCTGATCTGTGTTGGAGTCAGATGTAGATGAATCTGTTTCAATGAATTCCCGAGACTTTGGCACAATCTTGCCAGGCCCTCTGTACTTCTTCTTCTCGGGAGCCAAAGGGATGTTAGGTCTTGGTTCTTTCCTAGGGGCTGGTTTGTGGGCAGTGGCTTTGTTGCGGCCTCTTGGTGGGTCATGAAGCTCCACACTTTCTTTTTCTTTGGGAGTGCTGCTGGTAATATTTGGTTTGGGCCAGGTAAACTCGTCAGTGCTGGTGTTCTTCTCAACTTTTTTGGGCTGTTTTTTCCCAATTGTCCTTTGAGACACTGTCTCACTAGTTGTTGACAACTTATGCTTCAAAGCCTTTGTTTCTGGAATTTTCTGAGTGGGCCGTGGACGGGCTTTCTCCCTAATGAGACTGAGGAGAGGCCTTTCTTTGGGTTCAGCTGGGACCTGACTGGCATTCGTCTTCACTTTCATCTGGACTTCCATTGGTTGGATGATTGGAGGAGGCAGAGAAATAGTCTCCATGGGTGTTTCATTTTGGCCACAAATAAAAGACTTGTTCTGGGATGTCACTTTGTTAAGCCATTTATCCAGTTGCCACTTGTTGGTTGAGGGTGGCTCAGGCTGCAGATTGAGAAACAGCAGCAAGAATGATTTTTACACTTGGGAAGGATTCAAGAGAACCCTGAGTACAGAGACTACTACTAAAAGCTTTGGATGTCAAGTGACTGTTCACACATATACAAATACACACACTCATACACACACACCTGCACATACCCACTATCCATAATATTCAAATGACCTAAATAGTCAGATACAAACCAGCTGCAGTCTACTTATTTAAGCTCATTTCGACTCCTTCTCTGAAAATATTCTCTAGTTTGGCCAGGAAGAAAAGAATTATTCACAGAGAGATGTTCCAGTGGGTTGGCAGGGATGCCAATGAGGGAAACCTGTTTCCAAAATCCTTTGTGGGAATCATCACTCAACCTCTCACCAGGAGGCAAAGGTAATAGTCTCTGATCCTGAAAGGAACGTAAGCACACCTCAAGTATAATTCAAAAGGAAAGGCTTTCCAGCTGCCAGAGTGCCAGTGCCTTCTATGTGATGCTGTCATTCCCTGCAAACAAATCAGGCCTTTTGTATTTTTACTGAAGGACAAAAAGATTTTACTTCCAAAAAATAGAAACCACTGAGCTTTCGTCGGTGTATGGGCAATAACCAATTTATAGGAACATGCATGCAGACATTAGCATCCACTAAACCATGGCAATGATACATACTATTCGGGTCCTTGATTCCTAACTCTGAGTTCTGCCATCAGTTTTATTAGAAGAGCTCTTCCTTTGAAAGCCATCAGCTGAGGCTTATGGTACCAGCCAATAGAGGGTGACAGAATTAAAAACACTTGAGTAGTTGTGATAGCAACCTGCACAAGACAATGGCAGGCAAGGGTTGAGGAAGTTGTATCAGCAGCCACTGTGGGCAGTGGAGCTTTCAGGTTGAGAACATCAGCTCTGGATACACATGGACCAGGGTTTTCAGTCCTGGCTCTACTACTGTCTATCTGTGAGGTCTTGGGAAAGTTCTTTTTAACCTCCTAGAACCTTATTCTCTCATTTGTAAAACAAAAATAATAATAAGTACTCTGTAAGGTTGTCATGAGGATAATATGAGAAAATGCAAGTCAAGAGCTCAGCACAGTGCCTGGCACATGCATGGTCCATGTTCAACAGGTATTTCTATTATTAATAGCAGTAATATTATTATTGTCTCCTATTTTTCTTTTCTGATTATTGAAAAACAAGTGTATGAAGAGCCGGGGGTTGAGGGTGGAATTTACTTGCTATACCAAATGCAGGCTCAGGGAAATTGAGCGGCTATCCTGGACTCAGAGAGGATGTGAAGCAAATTCTTTTATTTCAAAATTATTATTTTAGTATTTCATGGAGCTGTGTTAAATGTTTTGGTGAATTATTATCAAACACACTTGAAGGATGCATATTAAAATAAAGAACATATAACATTTAAATAATCATTTTACCGTTAAGGAAAGCCATACTTCTTGGGTCTTACTTGCCAAGTGGCAATTCACACTTTAATCACTTTAATCTAGAGTAAGGGTTAGTGTCCCCAAGGCCAGAATTGGATCTTGACTGGCTTCATTGATTCTCTCAGAAGACAAGCTGCTAGTCTATTCATTACTATGCTAGTTTTACTATGCTAAGAGAAGCTAAGTGAGTCACACAGCAAATCAGTCACACAGCAAAAAATGTATGCATGTTAGGAGTATGTGAATATATGCTTTTTAAAAGTGCTGTTAAAAATCTGGGTACTTTTCTGAAGTGGTTATCATGCTAAATTAATTATTAATTATTGTGCTGAAAGTGTGTGTGTGTGTGTGTGTGTCTGTGTGTGTGTGTGTTGAGGGTGCTGCCTGTGGGACAGGCAGATCATGGTTAGGGCCCTGGCACCTTCACTCACCTCTGGAGTTGCCACACGAGGTGCCTCATTAGATTCGCTGTCAGTGGTGCTACTTTCAGTGTCTGAATCCGACTCAGAGCTGCTCTCCGATTCGCTGGAGCTGCCAGAACCCCCGCTGGCTTGCACTGCAGGTGGGGGCTGGGGAGTGGCCAAGGGTGGGCTGAAAGAAAAACAACATAATTCATTGCCTCATTTACTCTCAAATAAGATGGAAAACAGCCCAGTTCAGGTGAAGGGCCTGTGGTCTGTGAAATGCAGGTAGAGTGGGGTTTACCGTTCCCATTTTATAGATAGGAAACGTGAGGCTTAGGAGGCCCAGTGACTGGCCCAAGTTGAAAGCTTTGAAGAGAACCAGGCCTATGTGTATGCAAGTTCCTTGGCTTTCCATCACACTGCCTTGTCTTCCAGAAAAGCCTTGCCACCCTCATTCAACATAAAAACCTTAAGCCAAGTTTGCATGCCTTCTGGATGCAGATATAGATGTAGTGCCTTAGATGTTGAACTGTCCCATTTTTTTCAGTTAAGGTAGTTTTTCATTTTTTGTTGCCCCCTTGTTCAATACCCCACAGGTTCGTCAAGGGGCTCTGATCTTAGCTAAACATATGGTATATAGTTCTATTACCAAGAAGGAGTGAGTTCAATTATCATTTTAATTAGAGGAAACTGAGGTTCAGAAAGGGGGTGGAGCTGGTCTCTGCCTCACAGCTAGTTGGAGAGCCAAGACTAGCACCTAGGACCCTGGCCCCCCAGCTCCTTCAAAGGGCACTAGCTGTGCTGAGCATATTCATTGCTGAGGGCCTGGCGCTCAGCCCCAAAGTGACTAGAGTTGGTCCTCAATTTCTGTCTGTTGGGTGCATGAATAAGGGAATGAGACAACACACTTCTAGGCCTCCTCCACCATACTTTTTATAACCTCTTTGTAACTCTTACAAGGAGTTATGATCATAAGAGAGCAACCAGCTGTAATGATTGATTTTAAATTTGTAAAGCTGACCAAGCAAAGCATTTGGAAAGTGACACCATTTGCTACTCTGCCTTTATTGATAAATAATACTCCTCCATACCGATCGTTTGCTCTCTGCGTCCTATAACAAGTCAGCCTCAGCTGCAACTTGGTACACTGGGGTATGCCATCACCTTTCTTTTTCTCATTGTTGCTTTGGACTGAATTTTGCTTTCTCTCAGAAATGGGTCTCTAAATTTGGGGGAAGGTTCTAATCTCCCTCTGTGTCTTCAGCCTAACCCCTCTTTGGAGATCAGTTTAGCTCATGGGGAGGGGAGTGCTCGGGGCCTGTTTGTCTGTTTGCCATCTACTGGGCCTTCGCAGCCTCTTGCATGCAGCAGCAACCTGACTTGCTCTCTCCCTCGCATTCCACAAATCTGAAGCAGCAGCTCAGTCAAGAGAGCCCAGTATGGTCCTGGAGGTCACCTGGTCCTGTGGCCCCATGTTCAAATGTGAGAAAGAGGATCCGCAAGAATTCCCCAGCCCCCAGCTCAAGGAGCACAGACCTTTATTCATTGCCTGAACCCAAACGAGTTCATGACCCCACCCTATGCCCTCACTAGAGCCTCTTCTCCAACATTACAACTCTCACTCACTGAGCTGGAGCCATACTGAGCTGCTGCTTGGGAAGGAATAGGATCCCTTCAAAGCCAGCACAGGCTCCTCATCAGTCACTACTCAGTGCAGAGGGCCTATCCACTTCCTGTGCCGTGTGTCCTTAAAGACTGGCCCTTTAATCTCCCAGGTAGACATTTTCTTTAACATAGTGAAAGCTCATTTTAAACTGCTATCTGCTTAGTAAATGCGAACTACAAGTACATTTCTCTGTCAAGTACATCAAGAGATTAGGGAAAGTACAAGAAATAAGGAGACTACTGTATCTCCTGGGAACTGTGTGTCTTTCTCCAGCAGTGGGGGGGAAAGGGAGGAGACCTATAACAGGGCTCCTATTTCCCTGCATTCCTTTGTAGATCTCTCTTTAGTGTCAGTAATGATACCCTATTTATGCAAAGTTCTCTTTAAATCTAATCAATTGTTTTTGTCTTCGGTTACTAAATAAAGATTGAGAGAACAGAAATCTAAGTGAGACTAATCCAGAGATTAGGCTAACTTGGCCTCAATTCCTCCCAAGTGAAGTTTTAAATATAACACAGAGCATCTGCAACACTGAGAATACTGGGTGGTGGATTGAGGGATAAAATCTAATTTGTATCCACATTTATGATTCTCAAGAGAAAAGGCTGTTTCCTAGTATCATTTCACATTTATGCACTCATTTCTTTTAATACGAAGCTGGTCATCCTGCTATTACTAAGCTAAAATAGACTCTAGGTTGACTTTGGAATATTTCTGGATAGAGTTCCACTTACTAGATAATTTTTTAGCAACTTCTGTAAGAAACAAAAAAATCCCTGGGATTACTCCTTCAAAACCAAATACATTAAGGTGATACACATGAAGCAGGGATGATTTATTTACCAAAATCAACTTATTCCTCAGCTAAATCAAAGTTCCATGGATTTAGTAGAAAAATTGGGGTGTGTGTGTGTGTGTGCGTGTGTGTGTGTGTGCGTGTATGTGTTTTGTATATATCTTTCCTATCTAAAGCCCTTCTGAGAACAGATGTATTTTAGTATTCGGATGTTTTTAATTTTAAAAAGTACTATGCTGAATATACCATATATAATATTCTCAGTGGGATCTGGATAAGCACCCCTTAATAAAACTTGTTACTATTGTTGCAGTAACATTCACAGTAAGAGGAATACATAAATGTTTTAAATAAATATCTTTACAACAGTTTAGGTCAGGTTTTATCATCAAATGAGTTTGTCTCAAGGTTAGAAAAAATATTGGTTCTCAGAACTTTTTGAATTTCAGAAGTGTAAGAAATTATGGATGTAAATAGAAATCATATATGAAAATTTGACAATACTTATAAGTAGATATAAAGAAAGACATGAAATTAAAACTGTTTTAAACATAAGGGCAACCTTGACTGAGACCCAATGAAATGAGACCTGAAATTATGTATCCTAAGAATTTTTATAGCTAAATCTGTTTCTGTGTTCTCAGGTGGGACTCCAACACAGTCAATTTTGACAATGAACACTTAGAGGAAATTAGTATAGGAAGAACAAGAAGAAGTACATCAGCTTTTTATACTTACACATACAGATATGGGGATAAGAAGGAGGGTGGACTTTAATTCAGGGAGGACACCATGAGAACTCAAACTAGGGGTGAAGGACTTCAGTGTGTTAATGAAAAGGAATTGCTTTCTCCGGGAAGTTGCACAGTTGGAAATGGAGAGCCAGCGTTTGTGGAAGGGAATAATGGTTGCTTAAATGGAGGCAAAATTGCTCTCACCAGCACCTTTCCTGTGCCTCTACTCTCCATCTTCTGCTCATGGGCTTGCTGGAGACTGTAGATGCAGCCAGTCTGCTAAGGAATGTAAGCTTTACATCTGAGTCTGGGCCTCATTTCCTCTGGGCCTACCTTGCGCCCGGTTGGGACTGCTCCCAGGGACAAAAAGTGAGTACAAAACTGAAACATTGTCTTTAAAAGCAGGACAAACATCAATGTCTGAATAGTTGGCTTAAGGCCACATTCTTGTCTGGAATATACCATGGAACTTTCAAGTTGGCAAAGCATCATAATATGTCACTTTCAGTTCTTCACTGAAATCTGTTAGCTGTTCAGCTAGTTAAATTTCCACTTCTGCTACATTTATTTTCATACGTTACTAATTTATTTTCCAGATGTACATGAAAGTGGTTATGAGTAAAGCTAGCCCATGTAATACTTGATTCTGCCTAGGAGATGAAAAACTAATGCACAGTTTATATATTCTTCATTCACTAAGACTGTATTAATGTTATTTTTCACACATCATTTACTTTCATATTTCAATAAACTGCTTTTAAAAAGAATGCTAGTGATTACAACAAACATAATGTCTGATACTAAAAATAATTAACATTTGCTATATTAAGCCATCCACTCTATAGTCTGTAAATATTAAAAGTGTACTCAGTAACTTCACTACAATGTAACAAAACTTCTCAAAGGACCCACATTTGTAATGACTTCAAAGTCAACTGCTCAACCTTCTCAAAGATCAGATTTTGCTATCATATTCATCAGAATTTGCTATCGTATTCATCATTCATCTTTACCAAGTAGAACTAAGCTTTATTTTAATCCCAAACCCATTCATTAGGTCTTCATGGTCATAGGCCAGACTGGGGGCAGAGAAGATGGCTTAGCAAGTCAGTGACCCTAGTGGGGGAATCCAAAGCTGGGGAAGGCGATCAGAGAGTAGGCCAGTGGGAGAGAAGCTGGGGAGGCGTTTAAGGTGCCTTCTCCAGACACGGTTGACCCTGGTGGAAAGCTTGAGAGTGACAGGGGAAAAAAATGGGCTTTAAGAGATAGTCTGGGCACCCTAGACTCTATATGTGATAGTCTTTCTATGCTTACACCACCCAGACTCTTCTGCAATAAAGGGATTAATGTGTAGCACCATAATTAATGAATAGATGCAGATAAGATGGAGAGGCCAAAGGCCACATTGAAGAAACCGACTATTCTGCTTGAAGAAGACTCTGGGTTGGGGATGGGGGGAGAGGCACATATACTGAAAATTTTCAAACAATGTGCAGGTCTGCCCTGGCAGCAGGGAAAGAGTGGGCTTGTTCTGAACTTCCACGGTAAATACAAAACCAATGAGTTGGAGATCTAGTCAGGAAGATTTTACCTCAACATCAGGAAATACTTTTAAAAACTTACAGCTGACCACAGAAAGAATGCACTACCTTGCATGCCAGTGAACCCTGCACTTTAGGTGAGCAGATAGCCAGTGGCTATAAAGAATGTGGGAGAAGAATCCTTATTGTGGGTCTGAAGTGGGGTTGGATGATCTTTAGTATGGAGTCCTGATAAGTAAGCAAAAATGAGGAAGGGGCCCCAGGTGTAGGAGGGCCCAGGTGGGGAAGAACAATGAACAATTGTTCTGAGAGATGGCTAATCCCAAACAGTGACCTCATTCCACAGGCACAATGATCCTGTTTCATGGGCAAAATGACCTCATTCTGCACATAGCCCCCTCCAGCATGACCCTGTAAAATTTCCCTCCAGCCCCTGCCTCTTTGCAGACAGCCCCTTCTCTGCTGTTGCAAACTTGCAACATATTTTCATACTTTAATAAATCTTCCTTTCTTTACCTACAACTGTATTGGTAAATTCCTTTACCACTTGCACCACTGGCCCCACTACCCACAAAATTTAAGGTGTCTTCCAATTCAAAGATTATAATCCTTATGAACCTAAAGTGTATTGGGGATTTTAAGTGAGGCTGTTTATGGACTTTATGAGAAACATGTGAGGAGGCATTTGTGCAATCCAATCTGCTCCTTAAGGCAAGTCTAGGAATGTCCTGTCTCTACAGTACTCTATCAGTCACAGGGTTATTGTATAAACCTCACAGGATTAAAACTGCACTTCTGTAGGCTATTTTATAAGTCAGACTTTTTACTAATTCAGATTAACAGCCTCCAGAAAGCCAAACACCTGCACCAGTGCTGTTTGATTCTAATTCTAATTTAACTGTAAATCCCTTTCTCTGGAGATAAACAGAGATGATGAATTGGCCATTCTGCTCCAACAAGCTGTGTGGGCATCCAGACTATGTATAGGAAATGTACATGGGAGGATTCTATAAGCAAGTCCACATATTGATCTTGGCAACACATTTCACAAGGCCCAGAACTTGCCAAAGACATGGAGCAAGACATGTTTAATGGGAGAGTCCTACATGAAACTCTCCTCTTCAGTTAAGACTTGCATGAATTTCATCAGCTTGACTGTGTTCCAGTTTTACTGGGATAAAATGTCTATTAGGTAATTTAGAATGGTTTCATATTTGATTTCATCATTAAGCTGTAATCAGATGAACTTCAGGCAAAGGAATCAACATCCGCAGCTGATCTTATCTTCCTTCCTCCTTCGTTTTTGTCTCTGAACTCTGGGTTCCAGAACTGGAGCATTATGCCTGCCTCATCACATTAGGCCACCAGAGGCAGACACTCTGAACCCTGAACTTATTCTAGCTAGAGACTGGGAAGATTCCATTTTGTCTGTGTCAGCAGTTTTGAAATCTTCCCCCATCTCCCCTGTCCCCTGAAAATCCACTTAGCCCATTTCTGCAACAAATAGTGTATGCAGAAATAGAAAGCAATAGAAAGTGTACACAGAAGAATAATATATAAAACCGATAAAAACAGAATTGCTGTGGTGGAAAAAAGAAACAAGGGATGTGGAGAGGGGAGGGAGCCTATGTCCCCAGCAGCTTCCCTACCTCCTTGGGATGCCCCCTGAGCACAATTTGAAAATAAAATAATTCATATCCCAATATCATCACAAGCAAGTCACAATCAAATATATTTTCTGCTAATTCTCTGATGCTATTGATGAGCAGACAGTCGATTATGGTCCAGTTGTGATCTGGGCCACACCCTGATATAACTTCATAAAAAGATTGTCTTTGCCTAACATGTATACACTAGGATGTTTGTCCTGTTATCTCATCCTGATGTTTGAAATAGAGCCGCCTCAATTTACTTGCAAAGAGTAATAAGGAGGTCCACACCTATTCATTCCTATTCATTTTCTCAGACAAGTTACTATACATGACATTGCTTAAAGCCCTGAATGACTGAAGTGATCTGTGGTTGATGGAGTAATGACTGACCCAAAGATGTCCATAACCTGATCCATAGAACTTCTGAATATGTTACTTTATATAGCCAAGGAGATTTCACATATGTAAATATTAAGGATCTTGAGATGGGGAGATTATCCTGGATTATCCAAGTGGGCCCAGTGTAATCACGGGGATCCTTACAAGTAAAAGAGGGAGGCAGAAGAGGAGGCCAGAGTGATGCCATGTGAGAAAGACTTGACCTGCTATGCTGGTGTTTGAAGATGGACGAAGGAGGCCAAAAGTCAAGGAATGTGGCAGCCTCTAGAAGCTGGAACTGGCCCTCAGTTAACAGCCAGCAAGACAATGGAGAGTTCTGTCCTATAACCACAAGGAATTGAATTCTGCTAATAACTTACTTGAGTAGGAAACAGTTTGTTCCTTAGAACCTTCAGAAAGGAATGCAGCCATGCTGCCACCTTGATTTTAACCATGTGAGACCCACATCTGACTTTTGACCTCCAGAACTCTAGGATAACAAATGTGTGTTGTTTTAAAGCACTAAGTTTGAGGTAATTTGTCACGGCAGCAATAGGAAGGTAATACAAGATCCAAATAATTAAAATTCTGAGTGCACCCTCTTACACCTGAACAGATTTTCTTTTGTTTGTAAAATTTAGTTTCCCTTCAGAGAAGTCCAAACATATAAGCCCACCCTGGGAAGGGAACCTTGATGGCTAAATGACGTGCTGGGAAGCAGATCTCTGAGTAAAAAGACGCTAGTAGATTAATGCCACATCAATGGTGCAATGAGAGGTTACATCTTCCAGAGAGGCTGCAAACAGACCGTTTGGAACTTTTATGATAACTGTAAATGACCGGCTTTTTACATTTTTCGATCACCAGCTGTTGGTTCCTATTTCTTCTAACTTACTCAACCCCTACTTCCTTTCTGAGATGATAATTATGAGTGATTTTGGCAATGGCTTTTCAGCACCATGTTTGACTCACAACTAATCAGGGCTTGGTTGTCCTTTCTGTAGATTGACCAGACTCAGGCACTTGGCCTCTTCTTTTCCTACCTGTGCCCCGTCTCCCATTTTCAATCCACTGCCACATATCTAGACAGCTGCATTTTCCTTACTGGTTTTAAAGAGTCAGTTTTAGTACAATGGGAAGAGCATAGGGTTGGAAGTCAGATGATCTGCTTTTGAGTGTCACCTTGGATACTTCATCAGTGTATGACCTTAGGCTAGGCACTTAACATAAGGGTCTCAGTTTCCTTACCTGTAAAATGGGGATAATATATCACATAGGTTTTTAAGAGGGCTGGATGAGGTAATTTAGGTGAGGAAACTCACAAACCCATGCTTCTCCAAATTTAATGTGCATAGGAATCACCTGGAGATCTTATTAACCTGCAGATTCTAATTAGGTAGGCCTAGGGCAAGGTCTGAGTTCTGCAGTTCCAATATAATCACAGGTGATGCAGATAACTCCCAGTGGACCACATTGAGCATGGCAAGGCTAATATCTACATGGGGCTATTCAGATGGGAGCCACTGGGAGAAAAAGAAGTTGGTGAGTTACGAATTTGAAACTAAAGGCTAAAACCCAATTTTAAGGTGAACTGTGAATTTCACTTTTTCATAATTATTCTGTCCTCCTTTAGCAACAGAGAAAGTTGACTACCTTGTATCATTTTTAATCTGACTTGGTGAAATTTAAGCTTTCTTTAGGCAATTGTTCCTGAACAATTTCTATCAGATTCCTTCTGATAAGCTGGGATATCAGTTTACCACTTTCCTGAACCTACTTGCCCACACCAGCAGTTCACTTAATGTATGTTTCTTTCCTGTGAGCACGTCCTATGGATCACTAATGACGTTCAAAGGTGGCTTGCCACTGCCCAAGCCAAGGGTCAGGGTCATAGCAGGCTATATCCATGGCCGTAGTGGGGATCCAGGGCATAATTCATCCTGGTAGTGCTAGTGTTCATTATATGCCAGGAACTGGGCTACTGAGCACCTTCCCTGCAGTTTCTCCCTTAATTTGCACCACAACACGATAAATTAGATACTCTTACTACTTCCAGTTTACAGCTGAGAATACGGAGATGTAGCACCAAACCATATCAAGTTGAAAAATAGTTTTAAGGATACTATGAGATTAACTTCAATATTGCAATTTCAAAGGAATGAAAAAAAGGCACCTGGATTCAACCTGAATGAAAAAAAGGCACCTGGATTCAACCTCACCATGGTACATGGTGAGGTGACACTATGGAGGATGTCAGCATGTTCCCAGTAAGACTGGCCAACGTTGGCTAATGGACCATTATGTCTTCAAAGCATTGCAATTTGCATATGGAAGAATAAGCTGATATTTCGGTTTCTATGGAAATAATTTAAAAAATCACACTGACTTTTCTGGCATGAGACAGAGCTGTTTCAATCAAACAGCCAAACAGGTGGGAAAAAAAATCATATAAAGCCAAGTATTTTTGTACCTTTTGCCTTTAAAGCCCATTTTTAAAAATGGGAGCAAAGGAGAGAAGAAAGGCGGGCAAGTGGATGTGAACACTGACTCCCGTGAGCTCTGGCCTCTGCAAAGCTGAGAATGAATGATTGAGTGGCAGCTTGCATTCACAAGAAACCCAGAAAGGGCCAGCCTCCAGGAGTCTACAACAAGGTCAAGACCTTCCCACAAGGAATCATATCAGTTACAAATCGTAGGTGGAGCAGGCTGTGTACTTCCACTGGGTGTCTTAAACCCAGAAACTGCTTCCATGGAGGAATCTCCTCCACTGTGTTCCAAAAGCTGGCCCGGAGATGGGGCCCAACTGCTTGTCAGGAGAACCCAGGCAGATGGCGGGCTGAATTCCCTAGGAAAGTACAAAGCATGCTTAGACAGGCACAGGTCTTCCTGAAGATAGTCTCACAGTGGCTTAGCATAAGCCTCCGCCTTTTTCCGTGCTTTATGTCTTCTTTCCTATTACTCAATGTACTTAGACCTGCTGCTCAATTTGGGAAGTGGGCATTGCTCTTCCAATCTCTCCTTAGACTACATCTCTTTTGTGATGTTGGTCAATGCCATTCTCCTTATCAGTATTGTCTGCTTCCCTTCATGTCTGATCTGTTACCTGATGTATCACAGACACTTGATTTAGAAGGTAAGCTTCTAAGACCAGAGGCTTTATCAACCACATATTCTGTAAAATGCTTAGTGTGCTTAATACACCCTAGAGTAAAGCCACAAAGAAGTCTTCTCTATAAATCTCAGGGAGGACTGTCCACAGACATATCCTCTGCCTTTGGGTAGGCACTTAACATCCCTATTGCTCTGTGACTCTATGGTTCCAAGAGGATATCATCATCATTGGATCAATAAGATCAGAATACTTTTAAGTGCAGAGCACTTGATAGTTTTCAAGCAAGTTAACTCCCATGATTTGATTGCCACAAGAACACTAGAAGGTAGAAGGAACAGTTATCGAAGGATACCTATTCACTAGGCTACTGTGACCATCGACTAAACACTGTCAAGCTAGAGGCAATGAGAACAATCAAAACCCACTACAAAACTCATCTTTCTAATCATCTCAGAAAGCAATAAGACTCAAAATTAATCCAAAAAGTTTTCTTCAGCTGACCTAATGAATCTGGTTGTAAGAATTTGGTGCTGAAAACACTGAAGGACACCAACGCTGTGTGCTAGGAAAACCTTGTTGCAGTCAGCCTATTCAAAGTCACATACGCAATTTCTGAAATAAAAGTCATATAGTTTCCTTACTGAATGAATCTTACTTCATAATTGTATTGTAAACACGATCATCAGAAATCTAAGTGAATGGCAAAAACTGTAACTTGCAAAATTGCTGTATCTAACCCTCACAAGGCAGCAACACAACATATTGCCAAGAGAAGTGGATGATGTACAGACAGCCCTGCTGGGTGGTCACCCAGACTAGCCCATACATTCCTAATCAGGAAAAAGTCACTGACTGTCTTCCACCATGAAAATGTCTTAAAGATGTGGTCAAAGTCAACACTTATTGGTTCCACTTCCTCACCACTGGAAACTTCTTCAGGCCTAGTAATTAGGCTTTGAAACTCTTTTGGCTACTAAAACTGCTTCTTAACTGCCCGCAACAACCCTTCTCTTCCTGACTCATCATTGCCAATCCAATGTTCTTTTCTTTTCTATTTTTTTTTTTTTTTTCTGAGATGGAGTCTCACACTATCGCCTGGGCTGGAGTGCAGTGGCGCGATCACGACTCACTGCAACGTCCGCCTCCTGGGTTCAAGCAATTCTCCTGCCTCAGCCTCCTGAGTAGCTGGGACCACAAGTGTGTGCCACCATGCCCGGCTAATTTTTTGTATTTTTAGTAGAGATGGGGTTTCACCATGTTGGCAAGGCTGGTCTCGAACTCCTGACCTCGTGATTCACCCACCTTGGCCTCCCAAAGTACTGGAACTACAGGCGTGAGCTACCGTGCCTGGCCGCAAATCCAATGTTCTTTTCTTACTTGCCTTGACCTCATTCCCTGGTGAACTAAAAGCTTTGCTCTTTTATACTCACCCTCTGTGACAATATGTTGTATCATGAGATCTCTCTATTTCAGAATTCACAATGACTTTCTGGCAGATATATACACTCTTTGCTATAAGGTTTTCAGAGTTAGATCTCTATCAACACCCTACCTTAGTGTCAGTTTTATTTCTGATTGTTATTCCCAACAGAAATGCGACTTTTGTCTCCTCTCTGCTCCCACATTGCCTCCATGCCTTTGCTTATCCTGTTTGCTCTATCTACAGTGGCACGTTTCCCCTCTCTTCTGCTTGGTTAAATCTTTATCTTTCAAGCTCAAATTCAAATAATATGAAGTCATCGCTAATGACTTTTTAATTCTTACAGATATCTCCCTGTTTTGCATCACAGTTTATCACTTCATTAATCTCAGATGATTTTATTTCGTTGTGCTAACCTGCACCACTAAATTGTACATTCCTTGATGGCAGGGACCAGAATGTAAAGTCATTTTGCATATCCCAGGGTGACCGGCATGATAAATTGTATATAATTTTCTTGTTATAAGAAAATACTTCAGATGGCTTTATAATATATAGAAATGAAGCACAAACAGAGTCACCTGGTAAAGAACAATACTTAACTGTGAAATGTGTATCAACAGAAGCCAGTACTTAGGCCAGCCTATGGAACACAAAAACATCATGAAGCATAAGTTAATTTGATGAAAATAATCAGGCAAATAGGTTGCATGATGATGGATTTGTTGTAACCCTTCAACTGCCTCTATGGATGCTGGCCATATGACACAGTGCCCAACTCCTTCTTCAGCTTCAGTTTCATTGACAAAATGCAAAGTATCTGGATGGATATTTTTAATGTAATTGGTATTTAGAGCAACAACCATTGATGGGTCGCAGAGTGTACAAACATGCATGAACATGAAAAACAAATGGTGTGGTTCTTACTGAAAATGAATGCTACATACAAACAGACCTTCCTGTTTTTAATTAGAATGATGACTCCATTATTCCAATTTGTCTAAGATGTGAGTTACTCTAATCATGTCATTTTGATACATTAGCCAACCCAGCCTACATTGTGCCTGTTATCAACTCCCTCTCTAGTTGATGATTTTTCCAGTGGCATAATTAATTTCCTTAAAGAAGAAAAAATATTCAGTCAGTTTGGGATTAAATATGAGGTTGAAGGACTTTCAGAAAAGGCAGAGTTAAATCTCCTGGCCCACATGCATTGCTAATTATGACACACTCACATTAAGAACAAGAAGGTGTTCCCTTCTCATGATAAATGGGCCTGGAAATCCTCCCCAGCATTTACTATAAATCACAAAGACCATTAATAAACAATCAGAAAAAAAGGCAGTTTCTACAAAAATTCACTCCCATTCTTTGCCAAAGACTATCAATGTCATATTTAAAGCTGACATCTTAAATCTTCTACACAAAAGCCCTCTAGTCAAAAAGCCCAGCTATTTTAAACAGAAGTTCTTATGCCTGTTATTTTGAATGACAGCATAGGAAATACTAGATCTTTAGTCTGCCTGAAAATCTTACCTTCTAGCTAATAGTCTCCCTTCTCATCAATGTTAAATTGAAGGAGGCCAAGTGCAAATGGGAGAAGAAAAGAGGAACACAATTTCCTCATGTTAGGGGAACTCATTTGATATTGTACCCAACTTGCCTTTGACGTCAAGAGGAAGTCTGTACATGGCCACTAGTGATAAGATAGCTGAGGACAGGCAGCCTTACTCAACACTGACTCCTGTATGTGGAATGGCAGGGCTTACAACTAGATCAATAGCAAGAGGAATGACAATCCTGAGTTACAAATGAACACAGAGTCTATTAAATGCTGACATAGAAAGAAATGGAAACAAACTTAGGCATTTCACCAAGAACTGGCAGGACCTGTGATGATGACAAACAGGCAGGTGGTAATAAGGTCAGGATGTTTGGTTTTGTTATTAAGAGGGATTTAGGAAATTTAGCAATTTCAAAGAAGGAAGAATTTAGAATAAAATGGATTTAAAACAGGAATTAAAATACCTTCTGGGGTTAAGCAGATTACATTTGTGGTCAACCACTTCATCAGAAAAATCTAGAAATCTGCATTTTCTGAAGGTTACATCATATCCCCTTTTAGTATGTCAACAGCAAATCACAATGCTACAGGGTCCCTACCTACTAAATTCAAACAAATGCACATCTTAGGGATTATAGTGTAGACAAGGCTTTGACAACTTGGGGGGTGGGGTTTAAATGTCCAAAACAAACAAATAAACAAAATATTCTCACTTGCAAAGCATGGGAGACATGTACTTTTAGTGAGATGAGAGTAATTTCTAGTCTGATGGTATCAACATCTCAAAATCCAGTGCAGTTTCTGTGAGTCCCATACTACTACAGCTTCTTAATGACAAAACCTGGGTATGTTACTGTGCCAGTTAGAAACTTGGGCAAAACACTGGCAGAGAGATATTTTCCAGAAAGGTTATATGCCAAAATGTTCCCTTTCACTATAATTATATTTCAATACTCATTTCAGGTAACTGTGCCTAAATTCAAGGTGTTTAAACAAGAGATAATATGTGTGTGCATGTGTATATATACCTGCGCCTCATGAATGGATGAATGTGTGTGTATGTATGTATGTATGAATGCACGTGTGCCAGTCTGCATTTGAGTGAGTGTATATGTGAGAGTGTGTACACCTGTTGGTTAAAATCCAAGATGGCTAATACCAAGAAAGTAGAATCATTTCAGCACTAATTGAGATGGCTGGCTAAGAAGTGAAAACATTGGGAGAAGTGTCATCCTTCAAATGGTGTGCATAACATTAATTTAAAAATAATGTTACTATTAGCTGGCTAAGGACAGAAATGTTGACTTCTGCAGCACATGTTGGCCATTAGTCATTTATTAAAAATGATATTGCTGCCAGCCAATGTATATACAACAACCCACATTTGGGTTCTAGCCATGATTACTAGCATACACATATGCACATTCATATGTATGAGAGTCAAATGTAACATTTCCATCATATACACAAAGATTAGTGTTAAAATAAGAATATATAAAGGCAAAAAGTCTGAAATAATTGAAATGGTCGTTATTTTTCTCTTTTGGGCATGACCCATTTAATATCCAAAGAAAATGTCAACACTTTCAGTTAGGCATGGAACTCATGAAAACTGATAGGCTTCCAGTGGCTTGGTACAACAATGAGGAAGTGATCTACTCTTCTAGTAGTATAGATAATTTATACAGAGCTAGTATAAATGATCGTTTTTATATATTCAGTATATTTCAGTCTTGCCAAGGGAAAAATAAAAGCACAGAATTATTTTTCTTTCCTCCTTCCTCTTTCTTGTCTTCCTCCTCCTCCTGCTCCTCCTCTTCCTTCTTTTTCATCTCTTTGTGGTATCCTACTTGTAAATGTCTCATTATTCAACATAATGCTGTACAGTTTTAATGGTCCTTTATAATATGTCTGAATTATAAAATGACTGGAAAGTCCATTTTTAGAGATGTTTCCAGTATATGCACTTTTTGAATTATTTGAGTCATAAAGGGAGAAGATTTTTTTTCTCCAAATCCCCTCTAAATATCTTGCATACCTATAACAGGATGAAGCTACAAAAATAACATGGTAAGTCAAATATTCAAAAGTTTTTAATATCTGTATTTGAAATAGTTCTTATGTAACTCCATTCTAGAATGAACAAGGAGAAAGAACCTAACCTCCTGTGATTTGCATGTTACTAATGTTGTTACAGAAGGGCAAGAAAGGGCATGACATCAACTGAAACATAAAGATATTTTAATCAATGCTTTCCTTGTTGTGCTCTTTCTTTAGTGATTGCATCTTTGGGAGGCCATCCTGTGTTAAGAGGATCTGTAAGAGGAGACCAAAGCAACTTTTGCGGTGTGGTTTTACTTTCCTTTAATACGATGGTTTATACACTGTGGTTTATTCATTTATTGGTCTGATGGTTTTTATGAGTTGTGATTCAACATAGGTTCTTTTTTAGTATCGTGCTTTATAAAGATATGGAGAATGTAATATAAGTCTGATACAATTATGGTTATGTGCCACGCAAGACAATACTGTAAATATAAGGAGAGTCTCAAAAGCTGCTTAGCAAAATGATCTTAATATACAAGGCAGTGTGAAAATGTAAGAGGAATCTATAATGACAACGAAGATTAGCCATTTGCTCTCTAACCTTATTTACAGAAGCAATCAGAGGTATTCAGGTCGAGTTAATGACCATGTCTCCAATTAATTCAATTGTCTACAAACAACACTGGTGCAGTGGCTGTCTCAAAGTCTGCCACACAGTCTCAGAGGGAATACATAAGACTCCATTAAAAGTGACAATCATAATGCATTTATTACTGAAACACTATTGTACTATAAATAAATTCCTCATGTTAAATTATGCTCCATGCTTTAACAGAAATTCAATTACTGAAATAATAAAAAGACGGTGTATTTGCCAAGTGCTTGGACTATAATTTGGCTGCTTAGTTACCAGCGGTTGGCTGTTTTGCAATTTTTTCTTCATAGACTATTTCTTTTGAATAAATGCCAGACTTTTTCATACAAATTTTATGAACAAGTTGCAAAATGAAATTTTGAGCTTTTGAATCCAATTATGAAAGACATAACTAAATCTATTATTGAAAAACAATTCTAGTGAGCCCTTTCTGCTGCTGTTGAGAACTGTCTGGTAATTGAGGTAAGCACAGGTGCTGCTCATTATGGACCATTGTGCACCATCTGAATCCTGGGAACTGTGGAATTCACATGGTTTACACTCTGTTTGTGTGAATAACAAACAGGCCTGATTCTGCGCTTGTTTGTACAAGCTTGTACACAGCTCATTTGGGACTTTGAAGACACCTGCTTACCCTTTTGAAGCCAAAACAGTATCATTTATGTTCTGGCTATCCTTTCGATGACAATTTTGCAAAGGCAACATATTTTGCACTCTTCCTTCATTCCCACTATCTCCTCCACCATGCAAAAATTCCAACACATCTTTGTCTTTGGCAATAGAAAAATTAGTTGTGTAAAGCTACTACAATTATCTAATGACCAGAGATGACCCAAAGCTGTAAGATATATATGGGGGAAAAATGAATCAACTCTTCTCATGCAAAGTTGTTTTTAACAAACCAGAGGTCTAAGGTGGACTGGAGATATGATTTAGTTGTGTTTAGGGCTAGAAGATTTTCTTTATTTCCCTTTCTTTTCTTCTTTCTTCTGGGTCCTCATATTTGTCTTTCTAATGTCTAGTCTCATAGTTTTTAGATGGATCATTTGGAAGCAGAGAACCTTATAATCACAGACTTTTTTCCTGCCTTTATAATGCAAAGGAAAAACTATTCTTAACTGTGGTCTCCTCTCCTATCCCATAGGACCCATAGGACTACCAGCCTAGCCGGCAGCCATCAGTTGAGCTGGTTTGCAGGAGAAGGCTGGAGCCTGCACTGCATTACTGAGCCTCTGAGTAATGTCACATATTAACCTGAGTATTTCAGCCCTGCCGTAGCTTCTCAGTGCTCCTACTCACTTTATTCAATGACTTTGCATTTTCCCTTGATATACTGAAGCTCTTACGTACTGAAAAGATCACACCTAGAAGATATGTAGTAATGAAGTAGTAGTTCTGCTGCAGAGCATAACCCAAATCTGGATTACTCCTACCCTCAACTCCAACTTTGGGTCCCCTCAACTGTAGCCCGTTTCCCACAGTGACTAACCATAAAATGTGACATTCTAAAAACCTACATTTGTGAATCCTGTGGTGGGAGTTTGATTTCATATGAATGCAGAAAAATAGTTGGAGGCATAGGGAATGATAAATAAAAGCAACAGAAGAAATTACGGATGCAACAGTATATGCTTGGAAGTCTACTAGGAGACATTCCAATTCACCACAGTGGGAATGTAATCTTCCAATTTAGCAAACATGTTCACTCCAAAGTCCTAGAGAAGTGTCATGGTGAAGCAGAGTAGTGAAGCCATGTCCCTTTGCAAAGGCATGATGGAATATTACCGAGTGCGCTGCTAACTTGACACTTGATTACACTTCTATTTACCTTGTCCATCAGACAAAGTTACAGCCTTGACAATGCCTAATAAAGCCAATCAAAGTGGGTATCAGCCAAAGTAAATTCCTGCATGTCAGATATTAAATAGGACTAATATGGTTTGACAGTGCTCCACAGAAGGCATATTGGAATCTTACCTTTTCCCTTATCATTATCACAGAAAACGCAAGGTAAATTTCTGCAGGAGTATAAATAATTTGGAAACCCTCATAGACAATATTCTATTGTGTGTCTCATTTGCACTTAAAAAAAAGCTGCCCTACAGACCTTATGTACTTTTAAGATTTATCTGAAAGATCCACGAAGAAGACTTCCAGTCAAAAAAAGTACATATTTAATGGAATTAGATCTCTAGGCAAGAAAATGTCAAAAGAAAAGGCAAAATATTAAAGTGAATGCGAGGTGCTCTTTTCCACGGCTTTCCTGCTTTGATAAATATCTTCTAGGATGTCATTTACTAGAAAGTCATGATTTTACAAAAAAAAAAAAACCTAAAGTATAAAAAATACTCCCTCTGTTGCTGAAGTAAGTCACTATTTTCACATTTCTCTCCAAATTCTGCTTTTGTCAGCCAGAAGTCTTCTTGATATTTGCCTTTATATCTGCCTTTTTATCATTCTTATAAAAAACACAGCAATTCTTGTGAAATATCAAAATTGCCAAGGCAGGAGCAGAGCTGGAGAGCTGTGCTTATTCCAAGTCCTGATTTCCCGTCTGGCCTTTAGGAGGAGGCAATTTCACACGAAACCAAGGATCACGAAGTTGGGTGTCCGCTGAGAGCTTCAGGAAGGTCTGGTATGTGTTGATTTGGACTTAATTTGTCCATGAGAGTGAAGAGCACTAATAACATTACCTCTGAAAATGAGCTACTGATATAGAAAAGGATGATAGGAATATGAAATTTGGGCATAGAATTGTATAAGAATGCACAGATTCATATATATGTGTGTGTGTGTGTGTGTGTGTAGTTTCAAATGACACAAGTTTAAGCTTATTGTTAGCCTATCAACAATCTGTAGCTTATAAAGAGAAAGTCTTATATAAACCTAATTTCAAAATATGTTATGTTCCTCTCTCTTCTGAGTCTAACGCTTGAGTGTAAGACCTAACAAAGTTATTAGGACATCATGCATATAAATATTTTTTGTCCAACATGGTTCTTTTGTCACCATTATGTGTGTGTGTGTGTATATATATATATGTAAAATAATGATAATACCAATAAAACTTTGTTTGTTGAGTTCTTAATGTGTGCCATGACTTTGTCCAAGGTATCACAGCCAGTAAATGGCTAGAAAAAAAAAATTAGGCTTTTCGGTTGTTTTTGTTTTGCCTAAACACACTTTGAAAAATTATGCTCTATTTCAACCAATCACCCATCCATATATGTATATTCAGACAAACCCATTGAAGAGCTAGTCCTAAAATCTTTAAACATATGCTTTCATAAAATTATTTGCAGCCTTCTCTCCGCCTTTCAATGACAATTGAAAATGCATGTTTATCTATGATTCTTCAGTTAATAACAATGATGATGATGATGATGGTGATGGTGATGGTGATAGCTACTTTTATGAGACATACTGTGTGTCAGGTAATATGCTAACTACTTTTCATGAAACCTCACTTCATCCTTATAATACAAGTATGGTGCACATGCTGTTATTACCTTCACTTTACAGGTGAGCAACTGAGGTGTAGAGGCGTTAAGCAACTTGCATCAAGGTTCGAATGAGACTCTTTCCAATCACAAAGGCTGTATGATCTTTTACTACTATGCTACGTTGAATTGACTTGGAATTAATTCTTATATGAAATTTAAGTAAGATATCTGTCATCATCATTTAGGTTTCTAGTTCTTTGAATACCCAGGTTTAAGGGGTAAATGGCCTTCTAATAACAATTTCATAGCAACGTGGCAGAATCGCAGTATCATAGAATCATATGGGTGTAGAAGACCTTGAAGATTTACTAATCCAGCTCTTGAAACTGTCAAAAGCGGAATGGAGGCCAAACAAAACTGCATTCACGGAAGTAAAGGTCACATGAGTGAGTCCATCAACTGCCTAAACCCCCATCTGGATAAGATCGGTTATGGCCATTTTACTTTGATGGTGGACAGAAGCTGATGAGTACAGATAACCTGGACAGAAAAAATGTTTTCTTTAAAACACCCAGCTATTTTATTTTGAAAGCTGACTGGTGATCAACCACAAACCAGGTATTTGACTGATTCAGTCATGTAAAAATATGTGACAACTTGATGTGTGTGAATGCTGTGTGTTTATGCGTCAGCAGTCAGATTTCACGGATATGAGAGGGTGATCTCATACCTGGATTTCTTAACAAGCGCCATAGTTGATTTCCAAGTTTGAGAACCACTGAGTTGAGGCATGTAATTCTAGCCTGGACTTATGAAAGTCAATCAAAGGAATGACCAGGTGGGAAGGAAAGGAGGAAGCACTGGTCAGTGTAAGGAGAAATGATCTCACATATTTTGGACATTCCCCCTCAATATTGGTAATAGATAACAAGCAGCTAACATTCTCCCACTCTGTTTATTGAAAAAAAATTATTTAAATATTTCCATATGGTCTTATTGTTATCATGCTACCTGTAAATAATAATTATAGTAAATGACTCAGCTAATAGCAAATACCACCTTTCCAAGTGCTCAGGCTGAAACTCATGGAATTGTTTCTGACTTTTCTTTTTTGTCTGTATCCCTATTCAATTACTCCATTAGCAAATCTTATCTGTTCTCCTTTCAAAATACATCACTAATCCATCCACTCTTCACCGCTCATCACCACTACCCTGATACAAGCCACCATCCTTCTCATTTGGCTTATGGTAATAGCTTCCTTACTGTTCTCTCTGTTTCTACCCCTGCTCCCTTCCCATAGTCCTTTGACAATAGGTATAGTGTGATCCCATTATGACATAATTCAGATCATATCTCTCTTCTGCTCGAAATTCTCTCGCAGCTCCCAATTCACTCAATCTAGGCCAAGTCTTTTTAATGGCCTACCAGCTCTTGTACAGTCTAATTCCCACTGCAAGTTCTGATCTCCTTCCCCAACATTCTTACCCTTGCTTACTCTGCTTCAGCTGAACTATCTTCTTCACTGTTTCTAAGGCACACCAGGTATACTCTTGCCTCAAGGCCTTTGCACGTGCTATTCCTTTTCCTGAAATGTTCTTCCCTGCAATTTCTGCAGGGCTCACTCCCTTACTTCCTTTTGGTCTTTGCTCGATGCAGCTCTCAGAAAAGCCTTCCCTGATAACCCCATTTAAAACTACAGCTCTAACTCATCCATCTCTAGCACAATCCCCTGATTTATTTCTGTCTAGAATATTTATCACCTTCCAATATATTTTATCATTAAACTTTCATATTGTTTATTGTCTGTCTCCACCCAAGAGAATATAAACTCCACTAGCGCAGAGCTTTGGACTGTTTTGTTTTTTGCTGTATCTCTAGTTCCTAGAACAGTCCCTGAGAACTAGTAGGCATTTAATGAATATTTAATACACAAATGAATGAATGCGAATAGATGTAAAAGTGTGTGTTTTCAAAATTATGGTAAGCTTGATGGTTTCAACGACTGACAAAGTGAACCCTAATAACAGAAAACAGGAACAAAAGAACCTATTTATTGAGCAACTACTCAGTGGTAGGGGGGTTGAGTACTTCACACAAGTGTTCTCAATCTTCACAGTCATTCTTTGAAGAGATAGGAATAATGCTGGAACCCAGTTAACCCAACCGGAGAGAGACTGTGTTTATGAGTTTGATGCTGGAAGGTGGGCAAGAAAGGCTTCTTAATGTGTAGCTGGTTCCCAGACACTGAGGCTCAGGTAGCTTAAGTAAGTTTGCCAGTGATCACAAGTTATAATTGGAAGAGCTAGCAGTCATATCTAGGTCTACCTCACTCCAAAGCTCTTCCTATTATGCAAAAGGGAACAACAAATAGAGTGGTAGATGCCCAAGAAAATCATTCTTTTCAAACCCACAAAGGAGCAGTAGCCTCTCAGCAGGCCTATAGTTTCTTGTGAATCCCCAGGAAATCCAGAATAATTCTAGCTTGTTTCCAATCTGAGAAATTCTCAGAAGATTAAGTTGCACAGGCTATACCTGATCTCAACCTAAGCGGTACCTTCAGTTCCATGATTCATCCTCACAAGCAGATCCAAATTTATAAAATTTCCCATCAAACTTTTTAGAGCTGAACTTGGAGAATGTCTCATCTATTCCTCCACTCAGCAGGAGCATAAATTGATGCCCAGAGAGGAAAGGGAATTGACAACAGTGAAATCCTGAGTTGGAGGCAGATTTGGTGGGAGAGTGCTAGTCTTTTGGCTCCCAGTGGAGTCTACTACATATCTGCCATACTGAGGATGACGTTAGCCTAAGACGTGTTTCCTGATATCAGCAGTAGCAGCAACAGCAACAAAGAAAATATAAAGCCCCAATTACATGTAAGTAGCAAATGAACAGTCCAAATTGTTGGATTTAAGACCGAACAGACTGTGATCATCACTCTTTTCTTTCTGGAGTGGATTCTTCCCATAATGGTGTTCTGAACTAGTTCTCCAGCACTCACCCAGTCAAAATCAGAATTTCCCAATGCATTTTCAGAAAGAGAACCCCACTCCTTCCCAAATATGACATAATACCTACAGCAGAATAAAAACATGCATTTCAGCCTTCACCTTATTAACAGTTACAAGAGAAAACAAGGTAATTTGCTTTTGTCTTTCTAACATTAACAAATCTATTTCAACAATGTAAGTCATTATAGATGATAAAAATTGTGTAAAACATGCAAATAAGATGATGCTAGTTGGTGTGATTTGTGTTTATATAGTGACTAAAGTTACAAATTAATTGGAGCAGTACAATTTATAACTGTACCACTCTGATAAATGGGTTATAGTGACTATAATAACCATCACATTTTAAAATTTTTACTCTAAGAAGCAGAGATATTACTTAAAATATCAGTGCACTGCAATGGGCAGATACTATGAAATAACTCAGTGTTGAGAATGCAAATCACAAACATGGCTTGTATATGAATTTTTTTTTTTTTTTTTTTTTTTTTTGAGACAGAGTCTCGCTCTGTCACCCAGGCTGGAGTGCAGTGGCGTGATCTCGGCTCACTGCAACCTCTGCCTCCCAGGTTCAAGCGGTTCTCCTGCCTCAGCCTCCTGAGTAGCTGGGACCACAGGCGTGTGCCACCACACCCAGATAATTTTTTGTATTTTTAATAGAGACGGGGTTTCACCATGTTACCCAGGATGGTCTCGATCTCCTGACCTCACGTGATCCACCCACCTCGGCCTCCCAAACTGTTGGGATTACAGGCGTGAGCCACCGTGCCCGGCTGCATATGAATTCTTAAATGTCCACTTAGCACAACCAGTTGTAAAATGTGGTATTTGATGAAATGAATGAAACCCATTACTCAGAGGCATTTGCAGTTTGCAAAAATATCACTCATCCCAAGACTCTATCTGAAGTCAGCCAGCAGAAGCTGCAGAAATAGCACTGCCTTAGTGGCCATGGGACCAGGAGCACTGTGTTATTTAAACCCTCATCAGCTTCAGGTCAGTGATTAGCAAGGTGATAGACATCTTTCCAGGTTGAGTAGCCAGAGGCCTCAAAGAGTCCTTGCTTTATTTGTGATACACATACGTGGTTTGGGACCAACGCAATTGAAATTTGACATTTAGAATGCCAGTAGTGAATGGGGATGGAGAACAGAGCATTTGGACATGTAGTGACTTGCAGGCAAGGTTCTGTTGCTAATTGGCCCTGGCTATTTGAGGTGATCACTAGTTTCTATGCCAGGGAGGTAATGCTGGGACAGTGGACATTTCACAATGGCCTAGGCTGGCTCAGAAACACAGAGGGCTTCTGCTATCCCCTGAGTAATTCCATTCCAGTGTAGAAATGGCAAGTGTCCTGCACAACTTCAGCCCCCACCAGGGCTTCCCCTTTGGCCTTTGCTTCCCCTTTAATGAAGGAAGCTGGTATAGTTCAGTGTGAAAGATTTTCCAGATTCATAGGATATTTTCTAATGTTTACTGTAGGCCAGGGCATGTTGAGACCTGATGTTTTACCTGCCTCTTTGGATACTGTATGATGAGAATAATCTCATGTTAATTTATAGCCTCTTATCACTTATACATAATTTGGACAAAGAACATCCTCTCTTTGTTCCTTGAAGTGACCTTGTGAGGGAGCCAGTGCAGAGACTGTAACTTCCATTTACTTATTCCCATTTGCCGGTAAAAATCATGATGCTCTTGAAGGAAACTAGACTAGTTTGAGGCCACAGAGTTAGAAACACAGCAGTGTCAGAATGGCTCAGGTCTGTCTCATCTCCAGCTTCTTGTGTCACAGTTCTGCCTAAGGCTATGATGCTGCAGCATACACTCAGGCAAAGTGTGCTTTCTGCCCATAAATTTAGCAAGTAGTGGATGCCCACCGACTTCCATGTACTAGAGTGTGACTCATTTTGTAGGATCTTTCAGAGCTGGCTTTGAGCCCTGGGGACTTCCAGAACTCCTCTGGACAACTTGAATCTGGGTTTCCTCCCATCTTTGGTTTTTATAAGCCAAGAAAGGGGATAATACCTACTGGGTTCCAGACTCTTAGCTAAGCTACGACTAGTGAGTGATCTGCTGAGAGTGCTCTACAGGCATGAATTCTTGGGGTGAGTGAAGATTTTGCAAAACACAGAAATAGACATTTTCGTCTGGTCTCAGAAAGACTACATAGACCGATGACAAGAACACCGGTCTAATCTGTTTTGCCACTTGAGGAAAGAACTTCAGTGATGCACAAGTGGCACAAAAATACTAGGACTCTTGCCTCAGCTATACTACAACCTAAAGATAATTATGAGATGTCAGGTTTCCTAATGATATTAAATGAGGCAGTAATACTTTTCATTTGTTTGCAGAAATCAGATTGAGTACAGCAGCAACAAAATTTCATTTCATATGTCTTCATTAATGGAATGCTGCTCTTTAAAGAGAAATGTTAACTGAAGGGAAACCAGAAACTACTTTTATTGCTCAGATGGAAATAAAGATCTGGATAGACTGGCTGTGCATCAGCTTATAATCAACAGTGAATCATAAAGATACATGCTAAAAGACTTGCAATTGTAATCTAATTAGTTTTCTTACTGTTTGGGAGAGATTAATTTAAAGCTAGAGCAAGAAATACAGAATTACATATAGCCAGGAGATCTGTCAGCTCCTGCCTCCAGTCTAAGAGGACATGAAGATTAGTCTCAATTTGGTAATGTCAACGTGACTCAAGTAGAAAAATGTGTGTGGTGTGGCTCTGGCCATCAACTGACTCATCAAATGAAGGAGGAACCTGGCAAGATCACAAGTGAGGTAACCAAGCAACCTTGGGTTCCATTCTCAACTACTAGTAATTAACTTTTCTCAGCCTCAGTTTCCTCATCTATAAGAAGAGAATAAGGCCTTGCAGAGCTGATGAACTGATTAGAGATGATGCATATAGAAATTGTTGTGCCCAGCAGGCCCTCAGTATAGACAGCAATTATTACTGCAATTGCTTTGAGAAAGCTAGCTGGGTCTGCAGAGCCTGAAATGATGGACATGGTAGGTTGTCTGACAGCATTAAATACCAAACAGGGCCTGCTTCTGAGTGCCATCTTGGAGCCTCTATGGGCTCCCCAAAGCAGGGCCGCTCTTTCTTCTACTCAACTTCAAAGTATTCATCCTTCAATTGCAAAACCATTTTGAAATGTGTAAATGAAGCATCCCGGGATGACTCCCAAATTTGTTGCTGACAAATGGTCTTGGGTGGCATCTTCTCATTCTGTGGCTTAATAAATCCAAGAAGCACTAATTGCTTTGAAGTTAATAAAGACTTTATTGGCTTCAAATAATTGGTGTTTGTTTGGCTACTGTGATTATGGTTATCACAGTCTCTCTACATAATGTAAGCTGGCAGAAGTTTCTACCTTTTACAAGTTTTAAATCCCAGTAGAATTGACAGAAAAAGCTATAACCACAAATTGGTTTGCAATTTTCCTCTTTCTTTCCAGTCCTGTATGGTTATATTATGAACCTTGCTTCACACAAACTGCTTGTGACTTTTATGGCCCTTTTGTGATCTAAATGGCTATCTCATAAGATATTCCATTGCAGCTTCTTTTTCAATTGCTTTTACTGTGAAATGCCCTTGTAGAGAGTTCTGGGGAACATTTCACACTCTTATGGTATTGATTTGCTAAACCTGATGATAGGTTTATATTTAAGATACACTACTTCATATGAACAGAGTGGGAACCTTACGAAAAACAGAGCCAAAGGCTTCATTGAGGAGATGTTGGATACCATCTGTATCTTCAGGAATACAGTGAAAATCCCTGATCATCTTTGCATTCATTTCAGTAACTCAGCACATGGAAATACCACCTGAAAGATGCCAGTTTGATATACTTAATGATTCCTTCCCCAATGTTGTTTTATTTAAATAAAGTACAATTCAATAGTGAATGTGTAAAAACATTGTAACATCATGTATTCCATCTCCAAAAATAGGGAGTTTGACAGTGCTTTGGTAATAAACAGTGTTCATGACACTCCATGAAAGAAGTCAACATCTCAGTAGAATGCAGAACGCCACATCCCTCTTGCCTGTGAGCGAATTGCTGTTTAGTGTTCAAAATAATAATCGAGCACAAGAGAATAGCTGGAGGACCCTTCCCTTTAACCTAGCCTCCAGGTATCTTTACTTTCCTTCTATAAACTACAGTCTAATGAGACTATAGTGGAGTTTGAGCCCTGGTGGGTAGAGTGTGAGAATGTACGACAGAAAAAAAAGGAAAGGAAAAGAAAGAGAGGACTGTGAGGAAACAGGAAAGAGAAGGCGAGGCAGACATGCAGCAAAAAAGAAAAACAAGATAAAAGAGAGAAAGGGAAAGAAGAAAACAGGGAGGAATGATTTACAGTAAAAGTGTTATTTGTTTAAATAAGAAAAGAAAATTATTAAGCTTATTTAGTCTGACTGCTATAAGGTTTCTGCCAACACATATTCTCTGCCTTGAACCCTGCCTCAGCCATACTCCCTGCCTCTCTCTAAATAATTCACTAGTCATAGCATTAGTAGTTACTGATAAATGTCCATGCTCAAGGTCCCAATTTCTCTTTTTTCCAAAATGTATTAGCTTTCTGGATAAATTGTAAAGTTTAAGTCTCAGGCATACCATAAGAAAAAATCCTAACATTACTCAGAGTGGCACCAAAAGGTAAACCAATAATGAGAATTCATAAAAAACCTCAAACACAATCACTAGAGAAAGTGACGCCTTAGGTCTCAGGGTTGGAAAATCTGAAAATATCTGGGGAAAAGTAGAACTGTGAGGTGGGCACCTGTTAAATGCTTTGTATTTCTTTCTATTAGAGCATCAGAGCAGAATTCATAAGCTGTTTTTTCCATGTGACACTGAGGCTTTTATTCTAAGAGGTCACCCAAATAGATCCACCAATAAGCTTTCATTTTATTGACGAAAATCAACGAATATGGATTGAAGTGGTGTGCAAGGTTCAATCACTGGGAAAATGGCCAGGAGGTTATTGCAATTTGGCAATGCTTTAATGTGGGCAGGAGTGGATTGCTGTGAACACCAGCAAGATGGACTTGACCGACAACATATCCTGTGTAATTATGAGCTATAAATTCCACTCTGTATTCTCCATATGCTGTGTCTTCATTTAGAAACTATGGAATTCACGGCTACTTCCATTGCTGCTCTGCAATGAAATTGATTTCACACAGATCCCCAACAAGAGTAATGACTAGAGTGGAGGGAGACTCTCCCTCCTAAACTATACCATCAGTCGGCCACTGTCATTGGTGGAGAGGGAGCTCATGCAACCAGTGTGAGGTGGAGTGCGAGAATTTCCATTCACCCCTTTTCATCTCAGAAGAGACCAAATAAATAGAACTGTCAGGCTTTGATGTGTTTAGGTCGCTCTTGGCAAAAGATACCAACACATACTTTGTTATTTTCTTTTATGACATAGCAAGCCTCGGCCTAAAATGGAACTTCCAGTACAGCCTTGATGCTTCCCCACCTCTGGACTTACTCTCTACGTAATGCACAGTACATGGGAAGCAGTAGAGCTGCAAGATAAGGCAAGAAAAATACCAGGAATGTCAGATCAGCTTAAGCGTGGCTGGGTGTGGGGGCCATTGCTCTAAGGACCCTCATCCAGCAGACTCAGAAGATACTTATCCAGCACTTACCATATGCCAGGGATTTTTGTACACATAGAATCTCATTTAATTCTCTTTTTTAATCCTCACAGCAGTTATAGGAAGCATTATTTCATTTTAGAAACAAGGAAACTAAGGCTAAGAAAAGTTAAAGAAATTGCCCAAGGCCACAAAGCTAACCAGATTTCAAATCCAGGTCTTCTTACACCAGGTATGGAACTCTTGCCATTGAACCCAGCTGGTAGGCTATCCAATATGGGAATGAACACCATACCGAAGGCTTGCATAGCTACACTATTCCAGCTGCCTTACACATATCACCTCATTTAATCTCCATCACAACACTATAAGGCACATTCTATCATTATCCCCATTACACAGATGAGGGAAGGGAAACAAAGAGAGCTAAAGCAACTTGCCCAAAACTACCCAGTGAGGAAGTGACAGAGCTGGGATTTGAACCCAAACACTGTGCCCCTCACTACTCCAGGCTATGCCTCTTGTAACCTAGGTTCTTTGAAAGCCTTACAGGAGGCTTGAACTCCCAAGGCCAGAGCCATCGGCCAGCATTCTGTTATGGAAGTAACTGTTTGGAACACCAAACTGCTGACTTCTTAGCATCCCTTGGGACAAGTGTACCTGTAACACACACTGTGGAAATGTTGTCCTATAGGCTGAGGTTTTCTTTAATATTTCTTGCATTCAATCATTTAAACAAATATTAAATACCTACTGTGTTCTAGCCACTAACTCTATAAGCTGGTTAAAAAGTTCAAATTATTTTCTGGTCTTTAAAATTTTCTCTAAAAATAAAGATGATAACATCTCATCGGTATAATGGTTTCTTTAAGATTTGGGATAACACCGCTGAATATTCTTAAGTTTATCCCTATGGCTATCTACTGACAGGAAGCTACACATTAGCAGATAGGGATTTACAGATTAGACAGGATTAGAACTGTGTGGAGCCACAGTGCTCATGCATTTCCCCCCTTCTTTTGATTCAGGAAGGGACGTATGCAAACTGGACAGCTGCTCTTAAAAGGAAATCATTAAAATAATCTGATCTAATATCATGCAGATTTACTTTTTATTACTGTTTGATGGAATGGTTAGATTTAGAAGTCTGTGCAAGTGTCTTGTTATATGCATTCACTTATTGAGTAGATCTGGCTGGGCTGTCTGCTGATATTCAGCCTACAAAGAACCTTCTGGCAAAATGTGAGGTAGATAAAGTGTGTAGACATTAGAACTCAACAGAAGCAGTGTAAGCCTATATTACCCAAAGGTTGTTGAAACTAGAAGGATTTGTGGGGAATTTTGGCCTAATTCTAACATTGTAAGAGTTTTTCTGTGTCATACTTGGGTTGGCATCTATCTGGAAGTAGAAGAAGCTGTGTGTCTGAATTCCTCCTTTCCCTGATCCCACCCCACCTAACCTCTAATGCCCCTATAGGCAGGTGTTGGCTTCCTCATTTTGAAATTCCCTACTGTGTCTAGCAGAGTAGAGGCTCAACACATTTCCATTCACATGCATCAAATTAAGGAGAATGTTTTCCTTGGAAGAGATACTAATTGTCCAAGTTATCTCCATTTTTCATAATCTCATAACATCTAGCATTGTTCATCTGCATGGAAGGCATAGGCTTCAGGTAAGAACCCTGAATTTAGGCAGATTTGCCTCCAGTGAAAGAAAACCGATGTTTGCTAAAAGTGTATACAAACACCCCCACACACATGCACACCCATGCATATACATGATGAGTTTTCTACAAATCTCACTATCTCACTATTGTCTTTTCATTAGCTGGTAGGTTTAATCATTATCTTTGGTGGTTAATTCTGTCCCTGAAGAAAATCAAAGTCCATATAGTAAAAAGGTTTTACATTTTGATTTCCTATAGTTGCTATTCCACTCTAGGAAGAGTTGAGGTTCATCCAAAGTATATGAAGCTGACATTCAATTCACTTTTTATAGAAAAATTAAAAATCTGGTGATCATTTCCATTGTTATTATTGATTTAAATAGAGCTGAAGTCCTACATATAATTAGGCCTCGTTTATTTGCTGGGAACTGCCAGAGTTTAAGCTGTGGCTCTATTTTGACATATTCTACTTTTTCACAAAAGATAAACAGCTCCAGAGAAACCTCCATAACTTCCTTTTTCTGTAACAAATATACCCAAACAGTCTTCCTTCTTCAAAGGCCTGGACACTCACCAGCCTCATAAACACATGCAATCAGAGAAGCTTTTGGTTGGATTCAGAAAGTGATTTGTGATCCTGCAAGAGGGAATATTTGGTACACTGTGGATTCCCTCACAGAGAATAAAACTCTTCTAGGCAAAGACTATATACATCCTACAAAGCAAACAATTGAGTGTTTTCTTAGAAGTCGAAGTATTTTTCTATTCTCTGTGCTGTATCTGTGGGACCCAGTTCAACTCTGCTAATATACATCATGTTTTTTTTTTTAACACATGCCCATATTTTATCTATCACACACACTTTGGGTTTTACTTACTAGTGAGCTAAATATGGTTTGGTATCTTTCCGTTTCAAAATTTTTGCAAACAGTAGTAGAGTTTAATGTTTATACTCTAGACCTGACATCATAAAGCTGACCTTAGAAGCAATATTAAGGAAGCGGCCTTTTGACAAGACGCTTTTGGCTTTCAGAGACAAAACCTCTTGTCCCAAGCATATGAGGTTCAAAAGCAAATCATTTTAATCTCCAAATCTACAAAGTCTGATAAACGCAACCTAACTGTATCAAAGTATAATCTAGTCAGTTACATATGCATCATACTATACATATACATCATAGTGTAGATTGCTCCCATCTCAAATTTGTCACGGGGGCATAAGCTCTCTATAGTTTTTGGTATGTGAATGACATTATTGGTTTTATGTTAGAAATGTGCACGTACTTTATAAGGAGCACCTGTGTAACAATGAGCACAGCACAAGCCAAAGGACATTCATGCCTGAAGAGTGCCAGCCAATTGCTTGCTCCAGCTTCAAAATCTGTCAGTTAAATCTGGCAGAGTCATGTGCTTCCTCTAATGAACATGTTCCTCCACCCATGGCTGTTGAACTCCCAGAAGCCAATAAACTGTTCTGAATTTGAAGTAAGAGAATACATCTTGGCAAAGTGGAAACATTGCAATGAATAATGAATGTTATCTCCTCTTTGCTGCCTCGGAGGGAGAGGAATGGGAGTCACCTTCTTCATAGGTGATTGACTTCGAATATCAGGCAGAGGGTTGGAGAAAAGGGATGGTAAGTGAAAAACAGAATCAAGTGTTGGTGTTTTGCTGAGAACATCCTGATAAGTAGGAAGAGATCAGGGATGTATGAGTGACCATTAATAAATAAATAGCACTGATGTATCTAAATCCCCTTGGCAAAGTTATTCCAAATTTCCAAAGGGACAAATGTAGGGGAAATAAAGTCCTTAGATTAGAACTACTTTCCAGTTTTCCTTCTTTTAACAGAGAATATAAGAGAGCAAGATGAAACAGTCATTGAATTTCCCAAAATCGAAACCATATTCCATGAAGACCAAATGGTGCTGCATTTGAATTATTCTTTAGCCACAAATTAGCACCTCTCAAGAGCTTCATGTTTTTGAGCCATTGATTTTTGATAAATCCTGATTGGCAAATGTGAGAACAGATGTAGGTGTGCCAGACGGTTTTTCCAGACTTACTCAGGTCTAACTGCCAGACTTTGGACCAACTAAAGCTGAGAAAATTAAAGAAATAATTTATGCTCCTTCCCCTGACTCTAGGGATGGTGCTCTCTGTGTTCACTAGTTCATGCATCGTGTGCGACATCATCCGTTTGGAAGAGAATCACTTCTAGGCCAAAAGAAATATACCAGGGGAGGAAATACAGAAAATAGTTTCAAAAAATTAAAATATGCTGAAAAACAGGGAAAACAACAATTATCAGTTGTCCAAGATTTTATGAGAAAATGCTCAAATCCTTTGTGCCAATGGTGTTTATGGTTGCAGCAATGAAAATTCTAATTTTGTGCTCTAATGAACACAAAACGATCCATACTCAACCTTGGCAAAACTTATAATGACTGTGTAATTGGAATGAGTTTGCCATATTAAAATATTTCATAAAATAGGAAATTGCCAGATGTAAGAATATGAATTGGGAAGCCATAGATATGTGATACAATAGCCACACCACCTCCTTGTTTTGCAAGTAGGACGAATAGTTTACAGAATTGAAGAACACCATTCATACTTAACACCAGCTTACTAAAAACTAATCCACAAGATGTTCAATGCTTTTGAGAAGGATCCACATAATAGAGTCATTTTATCTTAAGCATCAGAATGTATCAAGTTATCATTTACTTTTGTTTCAATATCTCTCAATGTTCTTAAAATGCCATCAAATTCCTTCTCCCTATACATTTAGAATGTAGAAAAGGGAAGACCATTCTTTTTTTCCTAGTAACATTCCCTAGTTAGAATCAGCTAGTGGTTCTAACCCATGCTAAAACATGGATGAACTTTGAGAACATACTAAGTGAAAGAAACAGACACAAAAGGTTACATACTGTATGATTCCATTTTTATGAAATATCCAGAATAAGTGAATCCATAGAGACAGAAAGTAGTTTACTGGTCAAGGCTTACTGGAGGGAGAAATGAGGAGTGACTGCTTAACGGGTACAGGGCTCCCTTGGGGGGTGAGAGAAATGTTCTAAAATTGATTGCGGTGATTGTTACAAAAATCTGTGAATATATAAGCCAATGAATTGTATAAATCAGTGAACTGTATGATATGTGAATTATATCTCAATAAAGCTGTTAAAATTGTGTAATGATCTCAAAATCCCCACTTTATATGTCTACCATGGGGAAAGTTTAAGAGAGGAATAGACATTACTAACGATGCTGACCTAGCCAATATGAGTATTCATAATCACCTAATTAGTTGAACCATAAATCTCCAACTTTTTAGCTCAATTTACCTGCTTGCAATGAGGCTGTGGCTTAAAGACTCCCTGCTTAGGACCACTGTCCAGCTTAGTGGCCCCATTGATAGGCTGGTGAACCTTCCAGGGTTTGCTGCAGCGGCTCCATATGCCAGAAACATGTTGCCTAAAGACATTTTTGCTTCTGGCTCAGTTAGGGGTAGCCTTACACAGCAATGACTTTCCTTAACCCACTGATGCGTCGAAATCACCAACACAACTCAACTTTACTCATTCCAGCATGTCTCAAAGTTGATTCTGATATTCCATAGGCAAAAAGCTTCTAGGGTCAAATAAGCTATGGAAACACAACAATAAACTATGTCCCCCATCTTAGAGGTGCACAATGTAATATTAAGGGCTCAAAATTCAACTTAGAAGAAAAATTTTAAAACTCAGAATTTCCCATACTTATTTAACCACCCTCCACCAAATACACACACACACACACGCGCACACACACGCACACTCACACACACACCCCAAAGACATACACATTTTTGTCCTTCACAATACCTATTGACATCCCTCAAAACACCATTCATGGACAATACTTTAAGAAATGCTTATTTAGCTCATCAAATTGGCTGAAGGAAGAGAGAACCATGACTTTAAAGCTTTTACCATCTGAGTACTTTACCTTGCTTTATAGAATTTTAATTTCAAAAAAATGAACATGGATATGCAACACCTAAATCCCTAGGATAGTAATTCCTAACCTTTTACAAATCTTGGCCCACAAAGGAAAGAATTGGAATAGTATGTCAGGATAAACTAACATGATGGTTTGCAGTCAAGAGGTTCAGGGCTCCTACCCCTTGTCACTCCAAATGTTACAAGGATCAATATGTCTGGATTTCAGTCATCTATACCACTAAAAAGCCTGGGGGAGTTCTACTCTCAATAATCTATAATCTATAGAAAAACTACCCCAATACAACTATCTTCTTGTTGGGAAAGTAGGAGACAAAATGTCTAGGCAATGCTTGACTTAACCTGGACACTGTAGAATTTGTGCAGACACTACCGTATGTTTTTTTTACATCACAGTGTGATTGACTATAGTTTTGTTGAGGTGGTAGGAAGCCACATAGAGCAAAGGTGTGATTTAACACCAAACTACCAAATCCAAGAACATAATTTGATATTCTGGAAAATGAGACTGAGCATGATTGTGTCCAAGCACCTAGAACTTTTGAGTAATCAGAATTTCTGTGCAAATGGCACAATGAGAACTATTCACAGTGAGAGTCTTATATGGTCTTTCTGAATTAGAAAAGATTATATTATGGATCACATTGTTTCTTTTTTTTATTAAGGGTATATAGCCTTCTAATTCCTTGAAAATCATTCTCTCTATATGTGGTAGCTCTATTAACCAAATTATTTGGATTAACCAGAGCACTTCTTCCCCCAGACTTGTCAAATATGAAAAGTGAACCTATAACTTTTTTCAAATGTCATAATTTTGTTTTTATTATTCATTTTCTATATTATTCTTCTTTGGGGAATTTGAAATAAATAAATTATATATTTATATATATATGTAAAAATTTTATAGCAGTAACAATTATTTCAAGGATGAGGTTTCAGAAGGCTTCCCAATATGCTTTCACTTGAAAGACAAATCCAATTCGACATGAGGTTTCATTATGAAGAAACTGTTACAAGTGATGACACTGGTTATTGAAAATTGAAATGAAGTGAGAGGAAGCTAACACCAATGTGTATGAGATTCTTTATTCTTTGAATGACACAAAGAACTCAATATATCTAATCATCTCTTATGCCCACTGGGAACTGAGCTACGGTGATATTGCACAGGGTTGCTTTTTGATTGCTGAAAACCCAAGTATTAAGCCATATGCCACCTATATCAGTAGTTAAAAAGCTTTGTGTCAGTGCCGAATCTTGGGAATTGTTTTACTTTCCCTCTCTCAGTTAGAGTAAATAATAGTAATCTGGACACAAAATTCATAAAAGGAAGGTACCAATGAGTCAGCATAGACAGATATTTTGGCTTTCTACATTAATGTCTGAATTATTACAAATCTAGAAGTAGGCATTAGGTACACTGTCTCTGAACAAGTTTTCTTGTGCTTTGGTGAGTGGCCCAGGCAGAGAGACTTTCAAAAGGAAGACAACAGGGGGTTCGTTTCTCTCCTTCTTATTGTAGGTTTTGCCTAAGAAGCTGGAAGATCAGATGCAGTCTGTACTTTGATGAGATATATGCTGTTTCCCTCTCTTGTTCATAAAACTATCCTTTCTGGATTTTTCTCCAAGTATCCCATCTTGAATCAAATCAGCTTTTGAGTATCTGTCCTCTAGCCTCTAGAATTAATGTCATCCCAAGGTCACCAGAGTTCGCAGATGTGTGGCTTCTCTATCAATTTCCTCCTCCCTTTCCTTCCTCCTGGAGGCTCAATGTATTCCATTTATAATATTCTCCATTTCCACTTGGTGAAGTTTGGAAGCTGGGGTATATTTCCGAATTTGTGTCTCTGGGTGAGTTGTGCTACGCTGTGCTGTCAAGATAACTATGGATTCTTTTTATAATTAAAAAAGCCAACTAACAGGAAATGCCTGTTCGATAAGCTGTGCCTACAAAGGTAACATGAGATCTTCACTACTCAGTACCATCATACTCTCTCCTATCAATCTACCCTCCATAATTCTTCCCAATTAGGCAGGATCTTTGAGTGTCCTATATTATGTTAAAGAGTTATCTGTTAAGCATTTGAAATAAAAACTACCGCGAGTCTCACCACTACTAGTAAAACATTCAATGTGCATGTTAAGAGCTACAATTTGAATACTGGCCTGCTAGCCAATAAGTCTTGAAAACAATTTAAAGTAAATTCCCTGATATGTCTAGTTATTCTACCCTGTTTTAAGGGTTGCTAATGAATGTGCTGCCTGAATGAACAGAAAGATTGGGAGCTCAAAGAGTGCTAACCTGGATAACATGACACTGGCACCAGAAACCAGTTTGTCCCATACAAAATCTCCTCTGGAGTATGTTCTTCATCTAGTGGTGATTTTCCAATAAAATCAGCCTTGGTTATTGCAAGCATTGGCGCAACCCCCGAGGGAGGAGATCAGGCAATTCAGTTCTAGGAAATGCTGTATGAGGCAAAATTAACCTTGTAGCAATGTTATTTCCTTTAACACGGTCTTGGGTTTTGTTTGTTTGTTTGTTTGTTTGTTTTGTACACTTCAATATTAAGAGAGGGATATTTTTACCCCATCACTGAGATGTGACCAAGGGATTTAATGACTTACATATTCATGAGAAGCATATAAAATTAAAGAAAGCTTGTTTAGTTTAACCACTTTGCAGAGATATTGCCTAGACCTTGTGGCTAGAAACGTCCGTGACAGTGAGTCAAGCCTTGCTTAAGGGCCGCTCCCTTAGAGCTTTGGAGCCATCCAACTTCTCCAACTACTGGCCAATGGGAAAAGCTGCTGAATGCTTTTTAGTCCTGTGACAGTGGAGTATCGCAGGAAGGACAAAAGGGAAGTATCAGATGCATCTCAGACTTCATAACTCCAAAGAAGAGGACAAGTGTGAGGGTTCTGAAACTGGCTGCTGTGTGTCCAATCCTGCAGATTTCTGAGGATCAAGATGCCTTTCCAAAATAGAAAATTGCATGTGTTTTCAACTGTTAACTTCATGATGTTTTTGTTTCCTTGTCCCATGTTATGAAAATTTGACTTCTATCATTCTTGAAAATGCCTAATGACATACATCAAATATAACTACCCATGCACTAACCCCCATTCATAGGGAGGCCGACATCTTCACTCCTGTGCCTCCTCTTTTCAATTTGTAGAGGGAATGAATCAAAAGTATGAAGGTGGATATACACCAGAAGAATCACTTGGAGGGTCAAATTCTAGCTCTATTAATAACAGTAAAACTAGCTTTATGATGGCTCAGAATAAAGCTAATATGGAACATAGATTATTATAAAATAAAACTCTATTCCTTTCCAACAAAAGCAAATAATTTACCCAATGGTTAATAATTAGTTCAGTATGATTTCCAAAGGGCAGCACAAAATCATACTTATTCTAAGACTAAACGCATACTCAAACTAAACTAGGACGGTTGAACTTTAAAGTGATATCCTTAGATGTTTGCACTTACTCATTCAAGATACTGAGCTGTTGTTATATGATAGCTACTATTTGAGATGCTGGGGTTACAGCAGTGACTAAAACAACATTCTCACTTGTATGGACCTTACATTCTTGTGGGAGGTGACACTTCAAAACATGGAGAGAGAGAAAGGGACAGAGTGAGAGAGAGAGAATGATGAGTACTTAAGAGAAAAAATAAAGTAGGGTAAAGAGAGTGAGCGTGTATAGGTTGTATGCTATTTTGTATACAGCGGTGGTCCAATATTGTTATTCCTGCTCAAAGCCTTGTAAAATTCCTCTTCAAGGCATTCACTATGTGCAAGAAGAAATCATTCTTATTTTGAACCACATTAACTGCTTTTATTTACAACTGGTTTTCAACATCCATGGCTCCGAATCACCATCTTAGATTAGTTTTTAAAAGTTAAAACCGGCCGGGCACGGTGGCTCAAGCCTGTAATCCCAGCACTTTGGGAGGCCGAGGCGGGAAGATCACGAGGTCAGGAGATCGAGACCATCCTGGCTAATCTGGTGAAACCCCGTCTCTACCAAAAACACAAAAAAATTAGCCGGGCGTGGTGGCGGGCGCCTGTAGTCCCAGCTCCTCGGGAGGCTGAGGCAGGAGAATGGCATGAACCCGGGAGGCGGAGCTTGCAGTGAGCCGAGATCGCGCCACTGCACTCCAACCTGGGCGACAAAGCAAGACTCCGTCTCAAAAAAAAAAAAAAAAAAAAAAAAAAAAAAAGTTAAAACCACATTCAAAAGTCTATTACCCATCACTAAGACCAGGAGAAGAACCTCATACATGGTTTGACCACACTCTCCAAGGGGATCTCCCAACGGGCTGTGCACCACAACAGCATCCTTGCAGGAAGGGCACAGCTGTGCTCTGCTGTGTCATTGTAAGGGTGGCCCTTATTTGGGTGTTGATTTTAAAAACACATAGCTTTTTCTAGTTCCATCACATATGTAAACAGATGTTTCTGTAGTGTTTGGAAATAGGTTCTTCTGTTTTCTTTAAACATTCTCCTGTACAATCTTGTTTCAATTATGTTACATCCCTGTTTGGAAATAGGTGAAGCTTAAATTATATGTGAGTGTACAATGTGTATGTAGAGAGTGTATATACACATCCACATATATATTTAAAGCAAGTTTTCTAACATGTCTAATTTGCTATTAAACCTGCGCAACATGGTATGAGTCAAGTTAAACTTTCACCTAGCCAGTGTTGGAAGTTACACACATCTCCAGCTCGTGAGAGAGATGAATAAGTTGTGATTTTAGATGTAGATGCTATTATTAGCAGATCCCCAGCAACCACACTGCAGCGTTTGATAATGCAAACATGAATGAGTACGAAGGAGCTCTTTGGCTGCCCTGAGCTCCCTTTGCCAGGCTTCCATGGAGGAATATAAGCCACAACAGTTTTCTGAAATGCTTTCCCCAAGTACGTGGGACCCACTTGTTGTGACAGTATGGTGCTGAGAGGTGCAGAAGACAGTAAACAAATTGGAAAAGGAATGAGAATTGAGAAAAAGATTTGAGACCTTCTTTTAGTTATGGCTGCCTCTGCCTGCCCCAACAAGGGGAACAATTCTGTCTTGGATTTAAATTACCATGGTGCATGAGGGTATGCTGATATAGAGTATATAAACACATGTGCATATAAAAACTGGATTATAATGACATGTAATATACCCCTATGCTGTAAATTCTACAAATAAAAACATTTTCTTGTGGAAGAATGATTTACTTTTTTTTTCTTTTTCAATGGTGGCTCTCTAGTTAACTCCTGTTGATTTAGGCAAAAGCTTTAAGAAAGCAGATACTATTTGTTTCCTATTTGAGGCCCTGGCCAAAATGAGTCATTTCTGTAGTTCTCAGTCCCCCCAAACTAGTAGTCAACTGAATAATAACTTACTACCTCAGGCTCTTGACTCTGAACGCATTCTGCGGTCGACAGAGGACTGATTTACTGTTTGGACCCCTGTCTATAGTCACCATGGGGGCATGCATCATTTCCCTAGAAATAAAAATAGCCCTAAATAGCCCTACTGTGCTTATGTTTTGGGCTGACAAAAATACATTCAGAAAGAAATTTTATGTCTGTGAAGTGAATTCAGAAACTGAAGCTAAAATAATAGTGTTTTGTGTCATGCCTAAAATACTATATCTTAGTGTAGCCTAGACATTTGTGTAATGTGAAAGGAACTGTATGAAAGAAACATTTTGAAAAATGCAAGAAATAATCAAGGGTTCATGAAGCCACAAGGGAACAGCTGAATGCTTACAGGAACTCTATATGAGCTGAGGTTTACATAAAAGTCCACAGAGAAGGATTAGCTAGATATAATCAGAAAGGATTTGATGTGTCTATTTATTTGCAAACAGTTTAAAAAGAGCACCTTATAATCTCTCCCTAACTCTAACCTTTAACTTTCTAGAATAAAAGAATCCTTTCCAGCATTTTGTTAGTTTCACCCACACTACACTGCTCTCCTCCTAATACCAAAAGTAGGGCCCAAGTATTAATATTTGGCAGTGTGATGCTTTAGGTATACTGGCACATGCAACAACTCTTTCCTTTCTTTTCTATTCTACAACTCACACACTTGGTATTTTCCGCTACTGTGAAAAATGCCACCCCCCGCCCCAGCTGCCTCTAAGTACCAGACATTGCTCACAACACAGCATCTGCTTTCTTCTCTTAGTGCCTTTTGAAAATGTTGTTCTGCTCTCTTGAAAGGCCTCTCCCCACTGTTCACTGGGGGACTCCTGCTGAGATAGGGAGAGCTCACTCTCAGCAGTCACTCCCTCCTTCATCTCTGTCCCATAGAATGCTACACATGCTTCAATCATACAAACGACCTATTCTGTAGTGTAATGGCTTTGTCTTTCCCTACCAGTGTGTGGGGACTCTCACAGTAGAGATCTTATTTAACTAATCTCTCTATTAACTGTGTCTGGCACATAGTAGGGACATCATTATTGTTTGTTAAAAGAGCAAATGTGTGGCTTGCTTGAATTCTAGCAGGTTAGCTATGTGACTCTACATTTTTGACAGTTTACTGAAAGATCACTACACGGCAATATTGAAATAAAATTCTAGGTGTAACTCTTATGTACCCAAAACTGAGCTGACTTATGTGGGCAGATTAAACAGCGTTGTCCATTCTTGTCTAAACAGCAAACACTAAGAAGGACAGAGTTAGAAACTAACACGTGGACCAGGCAGTATTTTATGAATGTTGATACTAAAAATAACATGGTTTAGTTCCCTTTAAAATGGTTTAATTCCACATTTGCTGGCTTAGTTGAGGTCCATCAGATTCACCAATAAATGGGTGCTTTTTGTTTCTATTTTATCCCTATGGTTATTAGGGTATTAATTTAACACCTAAAGAGAAAAGGTTCTCATAAAACTTTTGGAAAGATGAGTGATGGTAATTTGGCAACTAACGTGTTTGAAGTTTTGAAGAAACTTATCCTTACAGATATAAATTTAATATAATTGAAGTTGGCATAATTGTTAAAGAACCTGCAAATCTGATGATTCATTAATTTTTGACACATTTGGTGTCATGTTCTAAGAAAATAAATTGTTAAATAAAGTTACATAATACAACTGAAAAAACCAATAACACATTTCTAGGCATGGAAAGTGGACATGTGTGTCCTGAGAGGGAGTTGGTAAAAACTGTAGAGTTCCTGGAAACTTGGGGTTCTGGGCAGTTTGCTCTTTGGGTCTCAGTTTTCTCATCTGAGATTGCCTAGATGGTACAAATCCAAATACCAATGAAAAGGAAGGTGTTCAGACATTTGTGCAAATTTCATTAGCTGTGAGGATGATTGCTGGAACCTGTTGCATCCAACTGTGTCTATCTGAACAACATTAAGAGCCCAATTTATTTTATGCAGCTATTTAGAGAGAGATGTTATTGGTATCTCTCCATTAATTGTCCTTAAATTGGCGAGAGCCAGTTAGAGATTGACTAGAGGTTTGGGGAGGATGTAGGAAGCACATTGTTGAGGGTGCCTCATTATCTTGAAATGAGTGGACTGGGCATTTTGCCCACTGATCTGATGAAGCTCACTGGGGACTACTTAGCTTCATGTATCTCACTCGGTGGGACCCACCCCAAAATTTCCTATACCTTCATTGAGGACTGTGTCTCAGGGCATTTACAATCCATAAAAACAACTTACAGTGTCACACTGTAAAAGAGACATAGGAGCCACACAGAAGAATGGCACAGAATAGAGAATCCAGAAATAAATCTAAGCATTTACAGTCAATTCATTTTCTTTTTTTAGAAAACTTTTATTTTAGGTTCAGGGGTACATGTGTAGGTTTGTTATATAGGTAAACTGCATGTAATGGGGGTTGGATTTATAGATTATTTCATCACTCAGGTAATAAGCATAGTATCTGGTAGGTATTTATTTCTAATCCTCTCCCTCTTCCCACCCTCCACCCTGAGATAGGCCCAGTTGTCTGTTGTTCCTTTCATAGTGTCCATTGTTCTCATTGTTTAGCTCCCACTAAAAATATGCAGTATTTATGTTCTCACTCATAAGTGGGAGTTGAACAATGAGAACACGTGGACACAGGGAGGGGAACACACACACCAGGGCCTGATGGGGGGGTGGAGGGCTAGGGGAGGGAACCTAGAGGATGGGTCAATATGCGCAGCAAATGACCACGGCACACGTATACCTATGTAACAAACCTGCATGTTCTGCACATGTATACCAGAACTTAAAGTAAAATTTTAAAAAATAATGCAGTATTTGGTTTTCTGTTCCTGCATTACTTTGCTTAGGATAATGGCCTCCAGCTCTGTCCATGTTGTTGCAAACTACATAATTTCATTCATTTTTATGGCTGCATAGTATTCCACGGTGTATATACACCATATTTTCTTTACCCAGTCTTCCATGGATGGGGATTTAGGTTGATTCCATGTATTTGCTATTGTCAATAGTGCTGCAATGAACATACACGTGCATATATCTCTACGGTAGAATGATTTATATTCCTTTGGGTACATATCCAAAAATGGGATTGTTGGGCCGAATAGTAATTCTGTTTTAAGTTCTTTGAGGATTTGCCACATTACTATCCACAACGGCTGAACTAATTTACACTCCCACCAGCGGTGTACAAGTGTCCCTTTTCTCTGTGACCTTGCCAACAAATGTGGAATTAAAGATTTTTAAATGGAATGAAGCCACTTTATTGTTAGCAACAACACTCGATTTTGTGTTTCATGAAACATTTGCCCTGCCAGACAAAGATATCCTCTGGTCAAACACATTTGGGAATCCTTAGGTAAGACAAAGCTAAACAGAACTCCTTCTTTGAGCCTACATTATGTGAATGTGCACAGTGATGCTCCAGGGAAGGGATATGATAGAAGATGCCAAAACTTCTTGGTGCTGGAGCCTTTTATTCTCAAGGAGAAAATCCCACAAAACTTGTCTGGCAGAACACAAATCAGATTCCACTGCCTTATTCAGAATGGTGACTTAACTGACTGACATTCTGCATGTCTGTGATGTGCATGTATACAAGAACATCACAAGAGATATGGACTCCAAATGCAAAATTACCTTTGGTCCTCGGGGGCCATTTCAAAGGCTTTACCAAGTGTCTTTGGAGCCACACTTATTTTCCACCTAAGATATCTTTTTTAAACTCTAATGATGTGTCTTCTTGTCCTTTATTCCACAAATGTAAAAGGTAAAAATGGTGGGGAAAGGCATTATGTGTGTGCACGTGTGTGTGTGGAGTTAAATACAGATGCATTATACACACATAAACACACACACACACACATACACATATATATATATATATATAATTTATGTGCATGCATGAATCTACATCGAACTAACAGGGTTAATATTGTTCTAAAATGAGTATAATCATAAAACAGATTTCCAGGCTTTGACTTTTTTAAAGAAGTGGAATGTCCATGTAAATAATCTAGCTGAGGCCTATAACAAGGAGTTGACGCATGCAATTTCATACTACAAACTAATATCAGATTCAAGACTAGAACCCAGGTCTATCAACCCTTTGTGTTTAATAATTAGGGGACTGATGGATAATTCACATTCAGTACCAAGTGAAGAGCTCTTTAATGCCATTTGACTCTACCATGTGAATCTCTTTCATCTGGGTGAGCTCTGAGGGCCCTAAGCTACCATTTCTACTCAGCCTTGGTTTCCAACCTGGTATTTCACTGCCTGCACCCCATCAGGCATCCTGGGCTCCTTGCTTTCCCTTGCCATACCTCAGCACCAGTGTCGCAAACCAGCAGTCCTTAAAATCCTGGTGCAAATGTTTTCTCCTCCCCCATTGTCCCTTCCATCTTTGACAGTGTTAACTAGAAGCATTTTTTGTTCTTAGAGCCTCCCTGTACTTTATCTGTTCCCCACTTAACAAACATTTCTCTCCCCATATATCTTGTATTTAATTTTTTACAAACCGATTTTATCTTTTCTGCTAGACTCTAAACTCCTCAAGGGTAGGACCTGTGTCAGATTTACTTTTAATTTCCTCAGCACCTATCACAGTTCCCAGAATGTTGTAGAACCTAAATAAATATTCATCAGATGAATAAATGAATAATGTGCAAATATCATAGTCAGGAAAATTTTTGTGGCTATTTGTCATTTTCACTAATGAAAGCACCATATCTATGATGAATCAGGTCCTAAAAAAACGTAATTTCCTACGCAGAGTGGATTCTGATCCTGAATTGTGAAAGACAATCATCACATTGTTTAATGTTGTTAAAGTGTAAAAGCAGGGAAGAATTTTATGCTTGACAACAGTGTGTGCATGCTCTCTCTCTCTCTCTGTTTCTTTCTCTCTCTCTTTTGGTAACAGATGTCAACCTTGGTTAGATTCAACTCAACTTATTAGTGCATGGCTTTTAGCCAAAAGCAATTCACATTTTCAGAAATGTACTATCACATATGTCTTAATAACAGAAATGTGTTTTTGAAAAAAATGTATGTGATAAGTCACATATGGTGAAAGAAATCTGTACATCTCTCAGGCCTTGCTGTCACAATGAAATCTTGGAGATGACTGCTGCAGAGCATTAAAATACAAGTGAAAGTCTTTCTGACACATTAAAGAGCCATAATTTGAACATACTAATCAAGCTCTGATAACAGTATGGTTCCAGTATAGTGAGAAATAGACCAGGTTTCCCTTGTCCTGATCAGTGATCTTAAGAACACTCATGTTTGAGTCTTACCCTCAGAGGTAATATTTAATGTTTCAAGGAAATGGCATTAGTGTATCCAGGTACATTATGTGCTTACATTCACTAGGCATATACTTAATTTCTTTTTTATATGGAGCATAATTACTGTATATCACAGTCTCCCTATGGCAATGAAAGAAGCAGCTTACAACCATGAAAGTATTAAAAATAAATTGAAAGAGTGGTTAAGAAATAGGGGAGGGAGGCAAAACTTTTAGAAACTTATTAGCCATACACTAATAAGTTTATTTACCAGCACCATAACTGAAAGCTAATTTAGCCTTAGTTAGATGTGGAAGTGACAGAATTTTAGAAAATTAATATGCCCTTTGCAATAAATCCATCTACACACAATTTGGAAGGCTAGCAGTATGCCCTAGATATGTGTTCTATGTGTTCATTTGTTTCTGAGGCATCAATGCCCTGTCAATGGATCTCATATCCATATGATTTTCAAAGGTAGTGAGTGAAGAGCGAATCTGTTTGCTCTGAATGAGAATTAAGTGGCACATCAACCCTAGAAAGTCCTAAACACACAATAAGGGCTCATTAAAACTCACTGTTTTAAAGGCCAAAGGAGAAAGGATTGATAGTTTAACCTTCAGCATCACAAAAAAGCTTAATGCTTTTTTCTGCCTCACCAACTAGAGCAGGAGTCCACAAACTTTCTATAAGGGGCCAGATGGTAAAAATGTACAGCTTTGTAGGCTACATACATTTTATGTCACAACTACTCAACTCTGCCATTGTAGCACAAAAGCAGCCACAGACAATATGGAAATGAATGAGTGTGGCTGTGTTCCAATAAAACTTTATTTATGCTTACTGAAATTTGAATTTCATATAATTTTCACATGTCAAGAAATGTTCTTCTTTTTATTTTTTTCAACCATTTGCCAAATTCTACACCAAAGGGCTATATGAAACCACACACATGTTCATATTTACCAATTTGTGTTCATACTTGAGTTGTAAATGATGCCGCTGGGCCTCTGTTTTCCAGTAAAACTGTACACAATTTTCATTGTATGCTCAAAAAGACAATCAAATGTTATTTCTTGATATGAGATCAAACAAGGAACTGGTCAGAAAAAGAACAGCTAGAAAGAACCAGAGCAATGGAGGAACATTTTTACATGTGGCATGAGTCAAGAATAACAGGGACTGTGTTGCGGGAAGTCAGGGACCCCGAATGGAGGGACCGGCCGAAGCCATGGTAGAAGAACATAAATTGTGAAGATTTCATGGACATTTATTTGTTCCCCAAATTAATACTTTTATAATTTCTTACGCCTGTCTTTACTGCAATCTCTGAATATAAATTGTGAAGACTTCATGGACACTTATCACTTCCCCAATCAATACCCTTATGATTTCCTATGCCTGTCTTTACTTTAATCTCTTAATCCCATCATCTTCGAAAGCTGAGGAGGATGTATGTCGCCTCAGGACCCTGTAATGATTGCCTTAACTGCACAAATTGCTTGTAGAGCATGTGTGTTTGAACAATATGAAATCTGGGCACCTTGAAAAAAGAACAGGATAATAGCAATGTTCAGGGAACAAGAGAGATAACCTTAAACTCTGACCGCTGGTGAGCCGGGCGGAACAGAGCCATATTTCTCTTCTTTCAAAAGCAAATGGGAGAAATATTGCTGAATTCTTTTTCTCAGCAAGGGACATCCCCGAGAAAGAGAATGCGTCCTTGAGGGGAGGCCTCTGAAATGGTCGCTTTGGGGGTGGCTATCTTTTACGGTTGCAGCTGTGGGATGAAATAAGGCCCAGTCTCCCATAGCGCTCCCAGGCTTATTAGGACGAGGAAATTCCCGCCTAATAAATTTTGGTCAGACTGGTTGTCTGCTCTCAAACCCTGTCTCCTGATAAGATGTTATCAATGACAATGCGTGCCCGAAACTTCATTAGCAATTTTAATTTTGCCCCGGTCCTGTGGTCCTGTGATCTCGCCCTGCCTCCATTTGCCTTGTGATATTCTATTACCTTGTGAAGCATGTGATCTCTGTCACCCACACTCTATTCGTACACTCCCTCCCCTTTTGAAAATCACTAATAGAAACTTGCTGGTTTTGCGGCTTGGGGGGCATCACAGAACCTGTTGACATGTGATGTCCCCCCCGGACACCCAGCTTTAAAACTTCTCTCTTTTGTACTCTTTCCCTTTATGTCTCAGACCAGCTGACACTTAGGGAAAACAGAAAAGAACCTACGTGAAATATCAGGGGTGAATTTCGCCCGACAGGACTGGACCACTTGGTTAGTTACAATACACATGTTCTTTTAACATGATGGTGACACTCTACTAGAAGAGAGCCACCAGCCTTATCAAGCCTGCAGGCTAGGTTCCTGGAAGAAACCTATTTTCCTGGAAGAATCCCTGTTTTCTGGGATATGTCCAATTTGTTTACTTATTCATTCCGTAAACTTGTATTGAACCTTTACTCTATTTGGAGTTCCAGTGCATTGTGTGTAACTGAAATTCTCTAGTGTTACCGGGGGGATCTTTGTTCTTCAAGCTCCCAAGATGGTGGTGGCCACTCCCAAGATGGGGCGGGCCTTTTATTCTCTGACCTGGGGTTCTTGGCCTCATGGATTCCAACGAATGGAACCTTGGGCCATGTGGTGAGTGTTATAGCTCTATTAGAAGCTGTGAGTCATGGAAGAGAACCGTGGAACCCAGCGAACAGTGTTCAGCCTGATTAGGATGAACCCAGGCACTTAGCTGTGCAGGAACAATGGCAAGCCTTTAGCCTGATCGGGAGTGGCAATGGGTGCCTCGCTGGATCAGGAGTGCAGCGGACACTCTGCCGGATCCGGAGGGGTGGAAGTCAAGGGCAGGTCTGCAATGGCGGCATTCAGCAGTGGTGGACGGCGAGCAAAAGCTCAGCTTGAGCCGGAACAAACATGGACCAGAAGAGTGTGCAGTTGCAAGATTTAATAGAGTGAAAACAGAGCTCCCATACAGTGTGAGGGGACCCAAAGAGGGTTACCTGATCTGGCTCAAATGCCTGGGTTTATATCCCGATCATTGTCCCTCCCCCTGTGCTCTCAGGCGATAGATGATTTGATTATTTCTTTACCTCCTGTTTTTAGCCTAATTGGTATTTTAGTGAGCTCTCTTTACTACCTGATTGGTCGGGTGTGAGCTGAGTTACAAGCTCTGTGTTTAAAGGAGGGTGTGGTCACCTTCCCCAGCTAGGCTTAGGAATTCTTAGTCGGCCTGGGAAATCCAGCTAGTCCTGTCTCTCAGTCCCCCTCTCAATGGGAAAACCCAAGTGCTGTTGGGGAGGTTGGCCAACAACTGCTCTAACTGCTTCCTGCTGAACTGGGGGCATAGTAGGGTTGTGCAGTCGAGATTTCCTCAAGAGGGATGCCTTTGATGTCATCAGAAATGGCAAAAGGACCACTATGTATAAAACTTTTTAAAAACTTTGACTCTGTTCTCCTGTCAGGCAGAGCAACTGAACCCTGCTGTGGAGTTTTTGTTTCTGAGCTGAGGTCTTGAGGAAGTCTCCTTCTTCAAGTGCTGAGTTTGGTATCATGAACCCAAACTCATTCTGAGAACAGTATCTTACTTAATTAGAAGACAATTCTAAACACCTACCAGTTGGTTATGACTTAGGTTTATTACTAAGCAGATTTTCAAATATATTTAAAGCACAAAGCTCAATAATCCTTTGACTCTTCTAGTTTCTGTTCCTTCTTTTTATAACATTCCTCAAAACGCTAGACATTAGATAGAGTGTGCACTGTGAATTAATAAGAACTCATAAAAATACAATTACTGTAGGGTCAAATTCTCACAAGGAGCAAAGAGAAAACAGGTCCTGCTTCTAGGCCATTAGAATAGAATTAAATGCAACCCCAAACACTGCCAATGGGCTATTCCATGCATGCAAAAATGCAACTTGGGAATCACTTCCTATTGGGAGGGCTGGAGCTTGGAGACATTTGCCATTGAGGGCCTTGATTTACATTCCTCCAGCCCTAGCCCCACTCCTTATGACCTGGGGCACACATCTGCATGCAGGCGGACTGAAGGGAGGAGTGCAGTTGAACTGCAGGAAAGAAGATCACTAATCGCCCACCCAGGGACAAAAGCCCTGACCCTGGCCTCATTAGCACCATCCTCTAATTCTCCGAGCTTGCCAGCCACAGGCTCACAGTGGAGGAGCCTTTAGGGCATTCAGACGGAAAAGAAATCAGGCTGCAGAGAAGATTTCAACCCCCAGCTGCACGACCTGACAAAACCTCAGCTACTACAAATACTTCCATAAGACTACAACATAATATATCTCCAGACTACGGATGCCCCTCTAGATGTTACAGAGCCTGATAGGGAATATTCTTTGGCCTAAGAAAAATGAAACTTAAAAGCAAAGTACACAACACCTTTTGGAAAAACGTACTAGGGCTTGGATTTAATGGTATGCTAAATGCTACCCTGGTGCTCTGGAAATTTAGTTATTTTATTATACAAAACAAAAACATTTCTTGTTGGCATTAGCTGATCCATTCTCCCAGAAACTTAAAAATCTATGTACTCTCCATTTCTGTATTTGGTACCAACTATAAAGGAAGTCAGCCAAAATAAATTAACACATAGTTCCTCGAGATGTGATATTACCAGACCTATAATAGCCCAGCAAATAGAGAAAGTCCTCCCTCAGCCACAGAGCTGGCAGGACTAGCATGCATTGTAACACTGCAATCAGATGTTACAAACCAAATGACAAGACAGCCATCCTTCTTAATTTGAAAGTCTCCCTTCTGGAAGAGACAGGATGTCTAAGATGTACTATATTTAAAGGAGGTCTGTGTAGCTTGTTTATGATTTAAGAGTATCTCATAAAATGCCTTGGGAATTGCTTTCTGTTAGCTAAAACAAAAAAGAAAAGCCTTTAGTTAAGTATATTTTATGAGCTTTTCATTAACAGAGTATTGAGGCCTTGATGCCAAGGTGCCAAACCTCCCCACGTGGCTGGAAATCACTTGGCACACTTTCAGTCATTTATGTCTCTGTCATAGGTCCAAGGTTTGCAATTAAAAATGTAATCTTTTTAGCATGTGCAAAACCCAAAGGCTTGAAGTACTATGTATTGAATATGATTATAATCGTATTTGGCAGCTATTCATGGATTGCACATATTAATTTATGTAAACTGGGTACAACTTGGGGCATTTCTTCATCAGGAGCACAGGGAAAAATATAAGCTGGTCCCTGCTCATTGGAGGATTTTTTTGGCTTGTTTTGTTTTTGTCTTTAAATTGTCATGAATAGAGATTAACTCAAAATCCAAGGTCTCTTTTATGACCTTATTTTTTCACATGCATCGAGTCCGTTAAAATTAACATTTGCAACTAATAAAAATAATAACTTACTTCACAGGATTATTCCTAGGTTTTGCCTTTTCAACAGCCTGTAAACAGAAGAAAAAATGCAATTAGACAATATTAGCAGGCATAATCATTGCAACTAGCTACCAAAACAATAAGCAATATAAAATGCTCTTCAGAAACATAAGGAGCTAACCGAAACAGGGTGCTGTAGATAAGCAGACTGGAGACTCAGAAAGCAATTTTCTTCTCCTGGGAAACATGGTTACCTGTCCAAGTGCAGCTTTCCAATACAGGTGGAAATTGTGAGGTGGATATTGTGAGGGCTGCCTAGAAAGTTCATCAGGGACCATAAAAGTGGACTTCTGGGTGCATAACTAGGGTCCCTCTCTTCCCACCTTTCACTCTAATCTTACCGTGTTTGGACCTGCTTGGGTTGTAACGACAGGTTAGGGAAACAGATGCAGACGGAATGGTCATGGGCATATCCTGGATTTTTAGATTTGTGGTAGGGAACTGCTCACCCTAGCACTACTACTGACATCTGGCCATACTTCCACCATGATAGAAAGTCGAGTGTCCCTTTCTAAAATCATTTTTATTAGCCGACACCACAGAAGGGCAAGGAATGACTGAATACTCAGATCAATTTCCTCCTGTGGAACCTTTAAGAAAATATACACCAAATCATAGAAATGAGGAAATCTCTGGGCCTCTCGGCCTGCATTGCCTTAGACATGGAGCCCGGTTCCAGTTTAGTGCTGAACCCATTGATCTGTGTACAGTCCATTTATCATTCATGAAAAGAGCTAGTGATCTTCACAGTATATTAGAAGAAACAACTCAGATCATCTGTCAACAGCCCTCTTATTTCTGTTTCCTTCTCCACAGGGATTTCATCTCCTTCGATTCTTCTGGAATTAAAATGTTGCTAAGCAACACAGCTGGGGGTGCTGATGGCAGAATGGCTACAGTCTATCAAACTGTTTAAGCACCTGGAGGGTTTTAGTGATGATTTTTTTTTCATATTTCTGTAGCATAATTATGTAATCAGAACCAAACTTGTACTCCCATAGACTTTTTCAGGCTATAGACGTTATGTTTGATAAAAAGAGCATTGAAGCAGCTATTTGACAACCTCAGGGTTGTTCAGATCCTTTAAAAAAGTATCTGTTTGGGGATCTTTGTGAATCTTGGAGGTGGGTAAGGGCTACAGAGAAGAGAATACTGCTGTAAATTAGAATACAGAGGCAACCACTTTTAGCAGAGACAACATATAATCTAACTCTGGACTTGACATTCTCGGTGACAAGTGATATTCAACATACTGAAGACCTCTATGCATAACAACTGAATAAAACACTTCCAAATTTTAGATGTTAGTGCTGGAAATCCATGCTTCCATTTACTAAGTCTCAGGTTCTGTTTCTAGATAAATAACCATTAATATTTGGGCACTTTCTTTGGCTTGGTAGGCAAAAATCATTTTCTCACCATCTGTGCCTGAGGTTGAATTTTGGCAAGTGCTAGAATAGGAAAAAAGCTAAGGAATGAGGTAAGAGGTGAAAATGAGAAAACAAGAAATATGTGTCTGGCTGGCCCAACTCATCTGTCACATGTATCTTGGACATGAAAACTTGTCCATTTGCTGTCCATTTGCAGTCCATGTACAGAGGATGTGAACCTCACTCATCCTGCAGATTCTCCCATGTCAGAAGAACAAAGGGAGAAGTGGTGCTGGCAAGAAGTGGGGACTGCCATGCAGCTTTCCTACAGCAGCAGGACCCAGTCTGTACATACATGCACACTCACATCTGCCTTTTTTTTAAAAAACCCTTTTCTCTCCCAAGCCTGGCTGGTTTGCAATAAGATATACTAGTAGGCTGAAGACATGTCACTGTGGAAATCATGTGAATCCACTTTTTTCAATCCCTTAGAATCCAGATAAGTCTGTTCTAGAAGACTTAGGTTATCACAAAGTAATGGGTGCTGTGTTCAAGTGGTTTCCTTTTAAAGCATGCTGGATGTGATAGGATGAGCTTGCCACTGGCAGGAGACAGGAAGAGGGAAAAATCAAAGTGACATTGCTTATCCTCCCTTTGATTCGGAGGCATGTTTTTTGAAAATACCCTCTCTGCTCTATGCTTTGGAACTGTCAATTAGACCCAGTTATTTTTCTCTGATCAGGAGGAACGTGATCATGTTTGAGGCCAGTTTCTTTGAAACATACATCTTTTTATAGAGCCAACATAGGAAAATAACTTCCTTCAAATTATTTTTTCTGGGTTGCCTGGCTATTGATTGAAAATGTCTATGCTGAGAGGTTCTCTTTTCTTTGGAAATTAACTTGTGATCATTCTGATGTCCCAACAGCTCTAGTCAGATGTCCTCATGTCATCCTCTTGTGTGCTCATCACCTTGAATCTCTCAAGTAAATGATGGCAAGTAAATGATGGTAGAGTAAATGATGGCAGAGAACCTTGCCATATGAGAAAAAGCTCGCAATGTGTTACTATGCTTTCACTGTAATTTGATGTTGTTTTAGGTATGCTATGAGGAATTATTACATTAAGAGACTTTGAGGAAAAAATTTTAAGTGAATTATTTATGTGCAAATGATATGTGAATTATTCTACAAGATACACAAAGAGAGAATTTCTCTTTTGAAATGATGGGACATAAGAAGACCATCCCAAGTTCCAGATACACTTGCCAGAATGTGAGACACACTGCAAAAGGAGGAAAATTAAAAGGAAGTGACATAGCACAATTCACCAAACATCAAGACAGTTACATATTGGGATTGCAGCTAATTTTAAATTTAAAAACATACATTAAAGTAATTTAAACTGATTGGAAAATGGAGGCTGGAGAGTTAACAGTTATGCTGCTTTAATTTATAACGTCTATATGCTTTTAAAAACCTATATTCTCCTTATTTTGTGCCATGGTTCCCTATCATGATATTTATCTCACAATTGAGGAAGCTCTAGTATAAGAAAAAAACAATAAAAGAAATTAAAATGTTAGAGAATGTACTCCAGTATGGTGTGATGAGAGGTAATAGGCTAGAGTGGAGAGAGTGCTGTGCCAGAAATGTTAAAAACCTGGGTTCTAGTCCCAGATTTGCCACTTACCCTATTGGCAAGTACTAAACACCTTTGAGCATCAGTTTCTTCATTTTAAAAATGAAGATAATAATTCCTGCCTTTTCTACAGCAACGGTGGTTGTGAGTAGCCAACATTGACAACAGTGCTCTGGAAGCTGCAACATGATATGCAAATGCAGTGCACCTTGATTGTGACTGCTTTCTACACAGTTGTTCATGCATAGATTTTTACAGCCAGATAGTCTATGGGCTTACTGAGTAGAGGCCACATTGTGGTATGAAACCTACGTAGTTATTCCAATGAGGATTATAGGAACCACTATCTTCTACTCTCCATATCAGTAGTGGTTCTGGAGTGAATAGAATGCTTCTGTCTGGAAAGTGCTATTCACAGAAGACTTTGATATGTTTAGATTCTACAGACCTCTCTTTCTCTCTACTTTTCTTTCTCTCTTTTCTCTCTCTTTCTCTGTGTTTCCAAGGAAGCCTAGGATGATTCCATATTTTCCAGTTGATCTCTCCTTTAGTAGCCCCTCCTTCCACACTTCACTCCATCAGATGGGCTCTTTACTTTTTTATTAACATTGGACCCTGAGGATGGGGAAGCCCTGAAGCTCCTATTCTACATGGGCCACCTCTGTCATGGGGTATCTTGAGAAATTAAATGCAAGGAAGAAGGAACTTCTCTGATTCCAAGGAGCATTTCTGAGGTGACTCCTCTCTCATTATCAGCACATTTATTTCCTTTGGAGGGATGATGTGGCTACAGACAGGCTCAGATTTGCTCACTCGCTAAACCTATGTTCCTGAAAATAAGAAGCTTGTCTTTCTTTTATATAGAGAATCCTTGTGCTGCACTAAAGCTCAAGTAACCCAGGAACCATGTTGAATTACAAAAACCATATCATATAGCACTATTACAAAAAAATAGGTAGAAAGAAAGAAGGAAGGAAGGAAAGACAGTTGCTGTCTCTTGAGTCCCATCCACGTGGCATACATGGTATCACATTTCCTTAAGGATAAAATATGACATAAAAGGTGCTTAGAAAACTTGCCAGCCATTTTCTTTATAATGATAACACTTCTTCAAAATTCTTTAGCAAGGTAATTCTGTCTCAGAGATTATACTCAATTAATTGCTATTCTAGTCCAATAGACATGTATAAATAGACATGTCTATTGGACTAAAAATACATATTTATAGAAAATGTAGAGAATCTTTTGGGGGTTATATATATATATATTTATAGAAAATGTGAGAATCTTTTGGGGGTTATAAGAAGCATGCTCTGAACAGTCAGACTTATGACATTATCCCCCTCCTTTTACAGAAAACAAATCTAATGCAATATGTTTCCTGTATGTTGAGACTGTCAAAGTGAACATTTGGATGGCCTAGAGATATTGTGGCAGTGGACTCAGGTATTCATTTCTTCCATAATCAATAATAATACTGTCAGTCAAGCATAAAATGTGATTTTATTAGTATTGCTCTATATGCCTTTTACATTTCCATTTCATATGCATTTTCCTTTCATTCTACTAGCAGATACATCCAAACTGGGTTTTTACATTTCTTAATCAAAAGGGAAAATCCAATCATTCAGATAATTTCAAATAACTGGGTATTCAACAACATGGAAAAAGACAGAAAAACAATTAATTGCATTGGTTTTGTGTTTCTTTGTTTTGTTTTGGATTTAATTTTTTTTCACATGATTGTTCTGTGGGGCACAGCTATACCCTAACCTAGCAGCATGTATTGGTAAATTGCATCGATTGCTTAAGTTCAGAAGAGAAACTCTTCCATTAACAAATGAACTCATCATTAGGGTATTCAGATGGCCTAAAATCAATACCAACAGAATTGGCTAAAACAATTGAAGAGACATATACTGACAGCACTTGCTTAAATATAAAAATGAATCGCTTAATTACAGCATTTAAATAGATTTCACTGGAATGAGTAAAATGGCAAAAGACAATGTATCCTGTAGGCTAAACCCCAGCTGGCATTAAGCACACACAGCCAAGGGTGGCAGATTAAGAGGACAAAATGTCACTCAAGATTTTGCAACACCTGGATGCCTGAATTTCTGACTTGTCATACGGGGATTATAATCTTCAGGAAAACACTAACCATTATTATGGATGCCTGAAAACGTGCATGGAAACATTCTGTATTTGAACCTTGAACCTCTAGGAAGCAAAAACATGTTACCTATCTTTAGATCACTGGGCTTTCCACATTTTAACTTTATTCATTCTTTTCTAATAATCAATGAAATAGGTCTTTGCTATACGTAACAGGGGCAGGAACATACTTTTGACAGGCAGAGGTTGGGGAAAATTTGTTCTCAGTGGATAGAACTATGTCTTGCACTTAATAGTCACTTAAACATTGATGAGATAAATGAATCAAGAATGACTAGGCAAACTCATAGGCCTGGACATTATGCTCTGGGCATGAAAATGTGCCAGAGGACAGTAAGCTCTGTATGGAGGGAAAAAATAAGCCTCTGGAGGAAGAGCTGAGCTCCAGGCTGATGTGCATCTCAATTCATCCTGCAACTGAATGTAAGGCTCTTGTTTACACTCCGAAGAGGAGGGAGTCTGGAGCAGCATTCACAGGGTGAATTTCCCATCCCACTTTCTGGAAGAAGGCTTGTAGCTACCTGTGCCTTCCTCACTCTTCCTGCAACTACTGCTAACTTGATTTCTATTGCCTCTCACCAGGACTATGGCCACTGCCACCTCACTTCTCTACTGGTCTCCCTATTCTAAATCTATTTTATGTTCTACTTCAAGATGAATCCTCCTAAGGCTCCACTTTGATCACATTGCTCTCATTGTCATAATCCTTCATGGCTTCCCATTGCTCATTGAGTAAATATCAATTTCACTCACACTGCCATTCTAGACCCTGCCACAGCCAGTTGAACAGCCACTGAATAGCAGGTACTACTTGTACCTGCATGTGCATTTCACTACCATGGAAGCCAGAGTTTTGTGAGCATCCAGCCCAAAGATGACGTGATAACAGCATTCAGAAGTGCCTGCACTCCATAAAGACTTGCTCCCTTCACTCTGGCTATGTTGCTGGATAGAAAATCCTTTGGCAAGATCCATTTGTCAATTGGAAATTTCCTTTATAACTAAGGTTTGGTTTATTGTAACTTAATGAAAAATGTACTGTCTTTGGTGAAGAAGCATGTTTCACCCACAAAGTCATCTGTTGACACTAATCATTCTCTAAGTGGAGTAAATATGCAGATGCCAGCCAAGCACTTCAGTATTGCATTGAGGTGTTTATTTTTTCCCAGTCAGGAGGCCCAATGTAAGTGGCACTTGGTCACTCTGTTCCCCTGGGGTTTGTGGGTTTGAAAATTCAATTTTCTTCCCCCTAACCAATCTGAGCCCTCTTGCCCCTGATGCTAAGGGGGCACACCTCATAAAATGACATGTATCTTTTAGTGAGAGACAATCAATGCCTAATAGAGGTTTTCTCCCTACCATTCATAACCAGAAGAAATGGGAAGTGTATTATTAGTACATAGTAGGTACTCAGTTACATATTCAAAAACCTAATTGGCAGGAAATACTGATAAAATATCTTTATCATTAACCTGCTAGTGTGATAAGGCTTCCTATCCCTTTGGAACACATTATACTGTGGGTAATGAGACTACATTTTTATTTATATACTAAATACTAACTGACTGCTTTGTATCTCAGTTTCCTTATTGAGAAAATTAGAAAGCTAGAGTAAAAACTCTCTATGGTCATTTTAAGGTCTGGTATTCTATATTTTAATACACACACAGGAGTATTTCACATATATCTAAAAGGATTATATACATATGGATATATATATGTATTTATATATATACACACATATGGATATATATATTTTTCATATACATATATATATATATATATATATATATATATATATATATATATATATATATAGTGGACTAAGGCTTCATATTTAGCCCTGAATCATATATATGTGTGATTGAATATTGAGTGAAGGACTTGGCAACAATGTCCTTGGCAACAATGGTGTTTGCCCTTTATTACATAAAGTCTGTAGTATGCAATGGAGAATGTAGGGTTCAAGGGAAGGAATTTTAAGCAGAAACTGGATAGAGTCAGACTTGATGTGGGAAGATAAATGTGGATACAATAAGGAAGATGGACACAATGAGGGAGAAACAGGAAGCTAGGGAGTTACTTTCTCATTAATCAAAAGAGAAGTAATGAACACGAGAACATGGCAGATCAAAGCAGAATGTCTCTTGGACCACAGACAGCATTACTATTTCTGTGCTAACAACTCAAAATAGTCTGAACTAGGAGGCAAAAAATACCATCTAATTGTCTAATGTACTAAATTTTCCCTCAGTCTATTTTTAACTCTAGTCAGGAAAACCAGGCTCTGTAGCATGTCCTGGTAGTACTATCAGGTCCACCCTATCATCATTCAGGAAGGGAGCCTCTCAGGAAACACTACTTCTGCTCTGGCTGGAAGGGACAATATAATATGTTTTATCAGAAAAAAAATGTGGAATTTTCTTCACTTTCTGCCAAAAGAGCTGAAACACATGCAAACCTCTCTCCAAATACTGTATCTGTTCACCATTAGTTATAGACTGAGAAGGAGAATCTTGCTGGGTTGGAAGATAGTTGCTGCCATTATCTGCAGGCATGCACACTGCCAATAAACAGAGTTGTGCCACAGAGTCTAATGTGTCTATTTTAGATGTCTTCTCCTTCATCTTTTGAAGCCTCAATTGTAACAGTTGTGAAACTACGTCAGGATTTACACAAATATATTAAAACAGAAAAGTTGCTGAGAACAGTTTCATGGTCACACTGTGAAGACTTAATGGTACAAAATCAATGTTTTCATGGCTCCCGAGGGAAGCTGAATTAATATCATCCCCCAAACAGATTCCTCCCTCTTCAGGATAGTGCCCTTCCCCTCATTTCATAACACACCTGCTCCCCTGAGCTAAGGAGTTGTATCTAGCACGTTGTTTCTCTGCAGATGCAGTAAAGAGGAATAAAGACTTACTAAGACTTAATGACCCTCGAGTCCATGTTTATGCCCAGAGGATTCTGAAGGCTAGGCTTGGGGATTCTGGGACATGCCTGGTCATAGGGATGCTCTCACTCACTATAAAGTTTTCTCCACTTTACCAGGCAGGCTCGTGGCTCAGAGGCTTGAAGGTGAACCTAATCGCTGTCTTTAAGAACCTGAGCTCATGCTGTGATTCTGCTCCAAGTGAGGGCTGGGAGAAGAAATATTAGAGAGGTAAGAATGGTTGGGCAGGAGAGGTGAGAAGATACAGAGGGGAGAAGAAGAGGGAAAATGAGGATATAAGAGGCCAGGTTCTTCCACTTTTCTGAGGAATTATCACAAGTACCACTGCACTACTCTTCACAGAGGAACACAACAGAGCATATGGGATTGGAACAGACACATCCATAGGTGAGGGCAGTGGTGTGCCAATCAGTAATGCACAGAATTTCTATTTGTTTCGGTATCTCTGTATCTCTCTCTCTCTCTCCCCTCCCCCTCCCTCTCTTACACACACACACACACACACACACACACTCACTCACTCACAGAGTACACTGTTCACAGCCAGAACATCACAAATACAGTCATATAGTAGCATGGCCATACTTGTTGTCAATAAGACAAAAGGATGTTATTGCAGACTTCATTTATATGTGTGTGTTTAAGGTGGTGGGTGGGTGTCACTTATGTCAATATTCAAATAAAATTACATGGGTATTAACACACTTGGACTGTACACTTTTACTCTCTTTCCCTCATTGTCTGTGTGAATTTAATGTTGCCAATTGTAACTTGGTTCCCTGTATCCCTACAATAAAAATGTAGCCATTTTTATTGTAAGCACAATACCCCTGCTAGCAAAATACAGGGGTAGAGGAAGCAGTGGGAAAAGCCCTGTGGGCTTGCTGGCCCCCCCAGTAAGCAATTTCAGCTTTGCCTCACAGAGGTCCTTTAGGAGGGCTGCTAGAGGCACTCGGAAAAGGCTACAGGGAGAAGGAAACCTCCAGCTGAACTTTGTAACAATTTGAACCCATTGAGAAATCTCCTGGCCAGAACTTGGGGAAGGGCATGAATCCGGACTGCAGACTCCACAGGAGGGGGAAGAACTAAAGCCCTACTTGCTTTTGCAGCAATGTTGCCAGAAATGACAGGATTTTATACTCTTTTATGGCTAAATAGTAATCAATTTTGTGTATATATATATATATCTATCTATCTCACATTTTAACCATTTGTCTGTTGATGAACATTTAGATTGATTCCATATCTTAGCTATTGTGACTTGTGCAGCAATAAACATGGTGGTGCAAGTATTCCTTTAATATACTGATTTTCTTTACTTTGGAAAACTACCCAGTAGTGAGATTGTTGGGTCATATAGTAGTTCTATTTTTAGTTTTTTGAGAAACACACACATATATATGATTCAGGGTTAAATATGAAGCTTTAGTCGACCTCCATTAACAATAAACTAGCTTTAGCAAGTTTATACATTTTTAGTAAAATGTTCCAAAGACTCCTATGAAATTTTTGCTGTGTGAAATACGAGTTATGTGGCCCCATACATTTTGGAAAGTTTTGTTTCTTTTTTCCGCCCATCCACCTGTATTTTGAATGGTTAATGTTGGATTGGTTAATCTCAAATTTGGAAACTCTTCTGTGCACTTACAATGCTTATGCTCTTTGCTCTTGATAAATAAAGATAAAAGTAAATATAGCTGCTTAAGAAAATATCAATTCAGTTTTCCAGGCAGAACAAGGTCCTTGGTGTTTTCAGCCTGCCTGGTGACTTTTTTAGCAGATGGCAGATATCTGGGGGGGAGGGGGTAGAGTTAAGCATTCTTGAGCCCTAAACCAAAGCCCCAGTAAATTGTTCAAGACAGAATATAAATTTCAAAATCTTACTTTTTCAAAGTGGCAAAGTGTTTCATTATATAACTTTTGCTTGAGATGTGCATACTGTTCTAGGTATATTCTAGAACCCTGATTAAACTCAAGGCTTGGAAACTACCAATGAAGTTAGGCACACATGGTGCATTTCCTGGGACTTACTTATGGATGACTCCAGAGTGAAACTTCCAGGCTGCAAGAATGGATTAGGACCCTAATTGGGATGATGAAGAGACTTAAGGAAAAGAATGTGCTTGGACCAAACAGAGGGTGGGGTTTGAGTGAAGAAAGGACCAGTGATGTCCAGTCACTTCCTCCAGCCCAGAAAGGGCAACATGATGAGGACTCTTTTCTCCAGGCACTTCAACTGAAGTCTGTACTTAGTGGTCCCCAGCTTTCCAGAGGTGGCTGCTCTCTCACTGCCACACTCTTTACAGAACCATATATGTGCTGTGTGCTCTTTGTGGGTGAAAAGGCTGTGGTCATCCCTGTCACATATGAGCATTATCTATTTTGAAATGACAGATCATATCCATTTTTGTTTCTGTTTGGATCTTGGGGCAAACAACATACCCTCACCAGTGTCTGACTTAAGGTCATTGTGGAAAAGTGCTAAGCTAAGCAAAAGAGCTATTGGCTTTGCAACTGAAATGCTCATAGTTGGATAATTCATAAAGTTTATTAAACACTAGCCAGTATTTGGTCATTACTGACCATGAGATAAGCACAATACATAAAAACATTACACTTCTATGCATCTCTGTATGCTCAAAGCATTCTATTGTATATAGATTACAAGTCAAAAAAATTGGTACTGAAGGAGAAGACCTAATTGTAATAAAAAAATTCAGCACACAGGTTTCTAAACAGTCACAGACTTGTCTCAAGCATATTAAAAACCACATCATACAAGCCCTAAGCAGTTTCTTATTAATCTAGTCTCTGTGCTAATATAGCCAAATGGGAAATACAATCTTGGGAATATGAAGGCCAATGTTATTCTATTAACCTTATATGTTATCCTATTTACTCTCCTGTCTTTAATGAATAAATTAAAATGTCCTCTCATTCTCTAATTGGTGGAGAGTTTGAGCATGACAATGTATGGGTTTTATTCAGCTACATTCTGTAACCTTAACGGCCCAAATGCTATCATTCTGTGAGGGATTTCAATGAAAGGCAATGACAGATAAACTGTTTACATTAAAAGACTCTATCAAAGTTATTTTGCACCCAGTTTCATCCTAATCCATCTGCTGTTTCTAGAGCTCTGACAGGCTGACCTCTCTTGCTGTGTGTGTCGTATCGATGTCATTACTGAAGAGGCTTTCCCCAGCCTTTCTGCTGATAACAAAGTAAATAGAAATGCAGAGAAACCTTGGGGAGGTAACAACTTGTTCAGTATGACGAGGGAGAACTGTGGCTACAAAATAGGACCGATTACAGCAGGGAAGAGTATCTGTTGTCACAACTAATGTATTCTATACAGCACACCAACTTCAAAAGAGCCAGCTGATAGCAGGAGTAAAATTCATTGCATCTTTTTCATTAGCAAACTTAAAATATAAATGCGGGCTTTCAATTTAATGTGGCTACTAGGTTCTGAAAGTTCAGTGTGCATCACAGGTATCAGGAACACATCCCAAAGCTGACAGAATGTTTGGGTCTTCGGTGGCTATGTAATTATTTCATTTGAAATTCTCAAATAGCAACCAGGCCAGTAAGCTCGCTCAACAAGAACAACAACCATGACCATGACCACCACCAAACAACAAACAAATCAAAATGGATCAAATATAAGACCTGGATTAAAGAAACTGGATTAAAAGCAACTTTTTTGTGTTCGGTAATTAGTAATCTGAAGATTTAAAAAAAGAAAAAACAAAACTATGAAGTGGAGGGGAAGATCTAAGAAGATTATTGTTTTCTGTAAATGCTCATATGCTTAAGGTGCGACTCTGCTACTAGTGTCTAGTTGGAAAGTCCATACATCTCCAGTAATTAATATGCTTTCAATTAAGTGAACATTTCACAGAATACCAGCATACTTCTTTGGCAGAAAAAGAAATAAGATGGGGTTAAATAAAATTGGGTACACTGGAGCTACTCACAATCACATGCCCAGACACAACACATTAGAATGTTTTGTGTTCAAAGAAAATTTTAATGGTTCAGTTCTGTTTTTAAAGCACTAGCATACTACTCCAAGCTTTAAGTAGGGTCTTTTAGTGAACCTGGTCACTAATTGAACATTTTCAGTCATATCAAATGTTTTCTGAACTTCTAACTGTGCTAAATGAAGTCATCTAATATTTCAATCTAATTCATATTAATAAGATGTTACTAATGTTATAATGCCCTAAAGGAAGTTTCTAACAAGACCCATCTCTTTTATGGCTTTTAGATTTCTAAAGTCTGCTGCTTCTAATGCCAATGTGAGCTAACTGGGGCATGAGACAGCCATGGCCAGATCTAACTAGGCTTCAGAACCCAGGCATCACAAGCCATCCCGCTACCTGTGGACACCAGACTACATGTTTAGGGCTGTGGAAATCAGACATCATAATATCACTCAATTAGACATTAAGCAGATGTTTACCTGGCTCTAAGAACATGTGCTGGAGGGAGCTTTGGAGTTTGCCCGCCACACATTCTAGAAGCCTTTGGAATAAGTCAAATTGCGGATAGTTTAAAACTTTAAAGACAGCAATTTTAATAAACCTGTCCATACAATTTCTTTGTTAAAAAAACCTTTGAGACTGATTAGGCTGCTTATATTGAAAGAGAAGCACAAGGTCTATATCTTTAGATCTTTTATTGAACTGCAAGCATAGCATCAATAACTGCTTCTCAGCTGTAAATGAAAATTGATTCCAGGTTTAACTCCTGATTTTCAGGGGTTCCTTTAACCCCGAGAAAAATGAAAAGAAAAACTGACAAAAAGAAAAACCAGAGGTTTAGTGGTATGAGGCAGGGCATACAGAGAACATAACATATTCCCACTCCCAAAACGTCTGTCCTCCTGGGTCAGGCCACTCCCTAGCCAAACCCCAGTGGCCATCTCTGCCTACCCTGGAGGACTGGCTTGAAAATGGAAATTCAATAAGTGTTTCATGGGGAAGGCCAGGGCTGGATTTTATATCTATGATGCCAACAGTGGCAGCTGAGAAGCAAAAAATGCAGTCAGCCAGGTAATAGACATCATGTGGCCCCCAAATCTCAACCATGCCATTGATATCAAACTTAAAAAATACATTGCAGCACATATGTTTATTCAGACACTAAGTACATAGCACTATGTCTAATTCCAACACTGTTCTGGATGTTTGCAATGTCTAATGTCAACTTCAAATAGTTATTTATCTCCCATTCAGGGACAGCTCCTGAGAGACAGCCAAGGTGAGTATAGCATCCTAGAAGAGCCTTCAAGCCTTTCTCTAGGGGACAGCATGAGCTCAGAAAGAGAAGGTAAGAACTGCAATAGAAGGGTATGAATCAACTCTCCACCCACGCCAATCCTTGGAAGAAAAACTCTTTTGGAGACACATAATTTCCTGGAGGACTTGGTGCAGATCATTGGCAACCTAGCCTTTCTTTCTGGGATCTCTAGTTTAAAAGTTGTCAGGGCTTAAAGGAAAGTTAAGGTCATTCATATCTGATGGCTGCCTTTGGGGGCCAGTTAAGACATGCAATGCAGTTCCTAACAGATCCCTATGGATACCTAGGCCAAAATGAAGGGCTATGTCTATTTCCCTATGGATCCTAAAGAGAGGGCTGCCAGTTAATGTTTAAAAGGACCACAAGGAAGAGTAACCACCTATTTTGTAGTTCAAGGCATTTTCTTATACACTGTCTTCACTTGATCCTTACAGTACTCCATGAGTTAGACAAGGCTGGTTTATTCCAGTCTACTGGTAAGAGATCTGAGACTTAGAGATGTTAAACAACTTTCCCAATGCCATACAGCTAGTATACAGCTAGTATTTGAGGCCTGGGATTAAACCCCAGGCTTCTTTATTCCAAAAACTATGTTCTTAATATCTACATTTAAAATTACTCATGGCCAGGCACACAGCTAATAAACTTTAGGATGACAGACATTTTCATTCAAGTTTGCCATATACAGGATAGAAAACCCAGCAGCTGTCTTTAACATCCCATTCCTTACAAGAAAAGGGAAAGTAAATATATGTAGCATCTCAAAGAATGTGAAGCTTTTTAGATCATTAGTAGCACCCATAACAATGATGATTATTATCACGTAAAGTGGTGAGTACTTACTATGTGCTAAGCATAGCATCAGGTGCTTTTGCCTGTATTGATTGACCTAATCATTGAATCCCCAGTATGACCCAATGAAGAAGGTGCTATTTTTACCTCTATTTTATAGGTACTTAGGTCTTTGCCCAAGGTCAACCAGTTTCAGAGTGGCAGAGCTAGAATTCAAAGCCATGTCCGTGTAACTATACAGCTATACTCTCACACGCTCTCCTACACTGTCCCAGCATTGTCCCACCACCTTAGAAAACAGCATGCATATGTCTGCTGCCCAAATAGTCCCAACCAAGAAAGTCAAATGCAGTAGAGGACTGGAGAGAAAACACAAAGTTTTAACAGGTATTTTCAGGCTGCAATCACTATCGTGTCTTCATTGAAGCCATGTACATGTGTGATTACATATCTCTGACTTTAAAGAGTCATTTGAAGGTAAAATCTTCTGTTAAAAATGTTTTCTTATGATCATGAGTCTCTATGGCTGACCATTTGGCATCTTTAATTTATATATTATAATTCCCCCATTCTGGACTCATGTTCCATTTTCCCATTTGAGGGAATAATATTTAGCATTTAAACATACCCTACTTGCTCTGCTTGTGTTTGTGCACATGACCTGTCACCTGGCTCAGCATGGCTAACACTGCTGTGGAAGGTAGAAGTAGCAGAAAAAGGGGAGGCTGTTCTGATTGTAAGATACTCGGTACCCAAATGCCAGTTTAGAGGCTGACACAACTTGATCCTGTGTTTCATTTTCATACATGTATTTGAAATGTATTCTCTTGGGGATGCTTATGCTCTAAGCCCACATTATAAGCTCTTAGATACTGTTTGAAAAAGATTGCTGTGTACTCACTACACCTGGATAATTTGAGTTTCTTCAAATGAGTCAAGGTGTGATGATTATGGATGAGATGATTTGGGGACGTCTCCAGAAAGTAAATGGCTTTTTTATTGGACTATGTCTGCACGAATGCAGCCACTGGGTTCTGAGCCATTTCTAACTATTATGTCAGCTGAAACCAGCAGTGTTGTCTGGGCTCTTGAGCACAGTTTTATGGACCAATTCATTTGTCTGTATGCTTTCTCCCCAATCATTCTGCCACAAATGGAATGACTCCGCAATTCTTTTGCTCAGCCAGGAGGCCCAAACCTACTGCTAAGGTTTGCTGTAAGGTTCAAATGAGACACCACACCTAGCTTGTGCCTGGCATAGAGCAAGAGTGGTTCCAAAAATGGTAGTCTCAGTACTCCTCCTTATGATGGTGCTGGAGGTATGACTGTCCCAATTCAAAGATGAGTGAACAGTACTATGTTATATGCATGGCACTATATTATCTAAAACAAAATGATTTTGGTGATTCCTCTATAAGTTAACTGTAGAATTACCATGTGACTCATCAATTCCACTTCTAGGTACACACCAGAAAGAAAACATGTCCATGTGAAACTTATATACAAATCTTCACCGTAGCACTATTCACAGTAGCCAAAAGTTGGAAACAACCAAAATGTCCATCAAATGATGAGTAGATAAAGAAAATGTGGTTTATTCATACAATGGAATGCTACTTAGCCATAAAACAAAATGAAGTACTGATACATGACATCGAACAACCAAGAAAATATTATGGTAAGTGAAAGAAGCCAGACAAAAAAGGTCACATATTATAGGATTCCAGTTACATGAAACAGACAAATCCATACAGACAAAAAGTAGATTAGCAGTTGTCGGGGTTAGGGGGAGGGGGAAATGGGGAGGAACTGTTTAATGGGTATGGAGTTTCCACTTGGAGTGATGAAAAATTCTGGAACTGGGATGGATGCACAGTCTTGTGATTGTATTAAGTGTCACAGAATTGAACACTTTAAAATGGTTAATTTTATGTTATGCGAATTTTGCCGCAATAAAAAAAGAAAATTATTTCAACCCATTTACTTTTACAAAAAGACATTATGCATCCTAAAAGCAGAGCTCTGCAAACATTGCTAGTATTACTGCTGCCACTACTGCACAAGCATTCTCTTTTGGTCTATAGCCTTCCAGGCCTTGTAACTCATCTTCAAACTCTACAAGGAGGGTTCATTTGCAAATGTTTATAACCTTGTGCCTACATCTTGCTCCTAGGACTCAGCTAGAGGGAATAAGTTGTCATTTTGCCTCACCTTAGAGCCCCTAGTTCAATCTCCCCATCAAATTTTCACTGAGAACCTAAGCCTTTTTGAGGAAGACATCATGACTAGCGGCAACATGTCATAAAAAGGTTCCAACCCACCAATCCTGATCATCTGAGAGTCTCAGCACTTACAAAAAGTCAGTGAATATACCCTAAAACTCAGATGATTCAGGCTAACAGACCCTTTGCCAATTTTGAGATAAATACAGAAAATAACTTTATAAGTTAAAAAGTAGATTACATTCATATAATTACATAAAGAGGAAGTCAATGTGCAAAATCTACTTTCAATTATTATTGAATTCTACTTTAAACATTTCCATTAAAAGGCAACTTTTTATCTGTCAAAATCAATGATCTAGAATGTTTTCATTTTTGCTTTTGTTTTACTTACAAATATGATGCTCCTGCTATTGGCGTATTAAATGTGTGAAGGAGAAATGACAATTTTTGGAAATGAAGTGTACATTTTACATTTGCTATGAAGCCCAACTCAAGCAGGAGGGAGACAGCTTGCATCCAGTAAATGTACAGCAAGCCCTTGGGGAACAGTTGTGAAATTGGCTTAGGCCAGCACTATGTAGTCTGCACTTACCCTGTGGTTGTTCTTGATAAAGCACTAAACTTGCAAAGATGCAATTATTTTTTACATATTATTAAAATTCAAGCACAAGAAAGTGGAGAAAGTAAAGTAGACAAAAGTTTTGGCCACATAACGTTGAAGATGGATTTTATTTTTAAAGTATACCAGAATGGTAGGAGTTCTAGTGTGGTAAACAGCTGTAGATGAGAATAGAGTAGCTGAGCCTTGATAATTTTTCCTAAGCTTTTCTTTGTAGGCTCTTCCTCATGAAATGTTCAATGAACATGGAATTCCATATTTGTTAACTCTCTTGAAATACGAGTGCATGAGCATTCCTTTAAACAGTCTGTTTTATAATGTAGCAGACTTCACTGTAGGAAGATCTTGGTCAGGTACTGGATTTAAAGAAAGGCAATCCTTCTGCATTCCTCACTTGAGGTGATAAGCACACCCAGAAGGACCCCACATTCGAGACAGTTCTCTCTCAAGGAGAAAATGTGCAAGCATCATTGACACCACACACTAGGTTGCCGTTCTCATGAGTCATACATGATACTTGGCCTTTTCAAATCATAAAGTCCAGTCTCATTGAAATGCTGAAAACACACATTCCTGCCATCTCATTTGGTGGTAAAATACTGTAAATGCTTAAAATGTGGGATAGAAGGATACAAGGGCAGCCACAAGTTTTTGCCAAATGTCTTCTGCCTAAAGGTTCATTTAATGGCAAGATGTTGCGTATTGATTCTCAGCTGCATTCTGAAATGGTGCATCTGGGAAAGGTGAATGAAGCATCACATTTATATCTAAATTAATGAGTATGGGTTCCAAGCCTCACACCAGAGTCACCAAATGAAAATTATACCTCACCCAAGACAATAAGTAGTCCAAGAGAGGGCAAGACAATCTCTATTGCTTACCACTGACCAGCATTTGTGTATGGAACAGAGAGAGAGATGGGAGGGGGTTGAAAGCAGTTTTAAAGAGCTCTGCATCTCCTTACTATAGCTTTAATGAAAGTTTGAACTGATTTGACCTGTTCCAGAACACTATGCTCATCTTTGCTTCTTTCCCTCTCTCCAAAGCCCAGAGATAAAGCATGGGGAAGTTTGCGCATGTCAAAGCATGTCAAAGCCATTCCAGTTCCTCCTGCTCCCCCCTTCATCCCAAAACAAAGCCCTAAGCTCTTCTAACCTGGTAGAGCTCAGTGGCAGTGCACTGAGTGGTCAAGGTCTTCACAGGCTCAAGGTCATCTTCATCACTGCTCAGCTTCAGGTCATCCTCAAGCATCCTACAAAGAGATCAGAGTGGTGTTTGAGTTAGAAGGCATATTTTCTAAATCATCCTCGGATACATCTTGCAATGAGAATAAAGTATTGGAGCTACAATCTGACAGCTGCAAATCCTTCAAAGGTGTAGAGGGAACCAAGATTGTTTCAGCTAATTAGATATTTGAGCTCTTATATTTATATCATATTTGCACATATCTTCCCTCTCTACCTTCCCCTAAATCAAGGGGAAAATACTATTTCAGCATCTCCAGAGATGACTGGATTCTATACATTTTTACTACTAAAAGTGCAATAAATGTACTGATCAATCACTGTGTATGTGGGATGTGGCACTGGATCTCTACAGGACAAGGTGCTCAGAGTTTCCCATGAAAGAAGAGGGGCATGATAACCATCCCTAGCTCTGGAGGCTGTTGTCAAAGCCTGCTGGGTCTCTCTGGATGACGGAGGTAAAAGGCACAGTGAACCTGCACTGCCTTTCAGTGCCCTCTGCTGCTGGGTAGCTGGGTGGCCGCAAAAGAGCTGGGAGAGAAATGGCTAGTCATTAACCTTCTGATATATGACCGATCTCTTCCTGTAAAATTTGATCTGAGAGATGTAAGCCCATGATGTGGATAAGAAATCTTTCTCTCCTAAGGCAAGGCACCTGAAAAATGAGTGGTCTGGATTTTGGTGATGAACTAGCACTTTCAAGATTGTTTATGGAGCCACAAAGCCTTTTGTTTCTATAGGGATATTAATTCCAGTGGCATCCTCTCCAAGTGTGAGCTACAGCAGGACGAATAGCTTATTATCTTAAAATTCCAGCTACACTGTCTTTAAAGACCTATTGGTGTTCATATTTTTATTTATTATATATAACTTTATACCTCATCCTTAGGCTTCAAGAAGGGACAGTCTCAGCCTCTCTGGACCAATGACCATTTCCTATGCATATATTGCTCTTTCTTGCATCTAGGCTCTGCATCAGGCTCAGCTCCAGGGCTAGAAATCTCTTTCTTAACTCTGGAAATCCTATTTATCCTTTGTAGCCCAGTGATCCCACTTTCTGTACAAAAGCTTTCTAGAAAGAACTCTCATCTCAGGAAGAATATTTTTTTCCTCTACCCAACCCTCAGCTCCAGCTGGATCACAGCACAGCTTTCCACTGAATCTCTCCCCACTAGTCCGTAATTCCCATGAGGGCAGAGGGTGCAGCATTTTCACCTCACTGTGCTTCACAGCATCTTCCCACAAATGATAGAGTCTACTGGCCTCATTTTGCAGACAAGGAAGGAAAGATTCAGAGAGGTGAATTGCTTTGCTGAAGCTCACCCAGCTATTAATAGTTAGTGCTGGAGCCACTCCTAAAATTTCCATCTCTGTAATCCCACTTGGGTGTTTTTCCAGAAGAGAAGCCAGAAGGGAAAAGGAAGCTTCTAATTTGATAAATAGGGGGAAAGTTACTTCAGAGGTTATGTTCAAATATTGAAAGGAGAGTCAGGGCAGAGCGGATATCCAATAACTCTCCAAAAAAAGCACAGCTCCCCCACTTTCATGCTCAGTCACATAACACTAGAATGTGTACACTGAGGTCGGCAAACCAAAGACTGATATAAAGGATGATTGCTGGGAAGGACAACTGTTAGAGTGGCTTTCGGATAAACTAAATTTGCAGGATTTATGACTGTCCTTCAAGAGACTAATGGATGTTTTGAAGATCTTAGAGAAGGAGAAAAAATGTATCTTGGTATTTCTTTTGCAGTTGCAGACTTCTGACTCTGAACAAATAATTCTTTACAACACATTGTGGGAAATGAAGACTGTATCATTCTCATAAGCTATAGAACTCAAATATTTACAAACTACCTATGCTTGTTATTATAAATGGCTTTACTTTCCGTGTGTGTGTGTGTGTGTGTGTGTGTATCTCAATACATCTAGGGAATGTCTATGTGTTAATTTATATTCAAGTATTCAGCAAAAGAAATGGTAAATAATTCCTGCATTTAGAGGGTCAATTTTCAGAGACAGAGAAAGTCCTAAGTATTTGACCAGCAGCACGGAATTTGGTCCTCACAATACTTCTATGAAGGAGATGATGTTACAGCTGCATTTTTCAGATGGAGACTCTGAGGTTTAGACAGGTTAAGGAGCTTGCTTGTGAACACACAGCTAGAAATCACGGAGACAAACATGGAACCTAGATCATCTCCAGCTAGAATTGGGAGTATACAAGGTTTTCCTAGAGTGTACAACTTATAAAAGATGGTATATTCAATAAAATTGACAGCAATAACAAAAACCTCAGAAAACATTAGCATGGAGTCAAGATACTGGGACTCAATTGCTGGCTAATCATAAACCCCGATATCTGGGGTAACTTACCAGCTCTGAGGTTCATCTGTGTCCCTCATCTGTTCAATGGGATAACACTTTGGTTCCATCACAGGAGGGTGGTGGTGAGCATAACAGGAGCTAATGCATGTGAAAGTGCATTATGAAAGCACAAAACTAATAATGCGGGGCACCATTAATTTGGAAAGCTATCTCAGTTGGAAATAACGGACTTCATTAATACTATTAAAAAGTAATCAGAAGCAGAAGTTTCTGTGTGCCTTTGCTCCTCTCCTTTTAATTTTCTGAACAATCTGAAGGTAATCCATGATGACTTGGGAAATGTCTAAGGGCATCTCAAGGCCAGATGTAGAAATGTGCTTGTGGTCTTCCGGTTTCTCTCCTTCAGGTAGAAGTAGCACATCCAGAGTCAGAGCACAGAGGTCTGAACTCAGCAGTTATTTTACTCTCCAATCAACATTATATGATTTTTAACATGGAGATGAAATGCACTCCAATGTACAGTTCTGGAAATAGGCAGCCAATCTACACAGCGATCCACATTAAACAACCTCCCCACATCCCCACCATGCAACAAGCTTGGTATGGATTTGGCTGTTAATAAAGGAAAATCTGATGCATACATTTAAGTCCCAGTAAACACAAGTCAAAGAAGTAACTAGGAAGCAAATTACTATTAGTTATCTCTGGAGGAACTAGGCATTCATTTCATTCCACTTCTTCCCTGACCTATTAAGCTTTATTATTGAATATACATGTACTTGTTTGCATTTTCATCCTTGGCTAATGCTGAACATTACTCTAGGGAAAGCGTAGGATTATGAAAGATATTAGATTTAATTATTATAGCAGCACCATTCACACCCAATGCAGTTAAGGTCGTCTCAGCAGAAAAATGGTAATCTCTTTTCATGAGGTTATAATTCCATAGACAAATTCATGACACATAATGTGAAAAAAATTGCTCATATAAATGTATGCCTGTGTGTGTGATCTTAAAAAAAACAGACATTGTTCTTCAACTTTTCAATTAGGTGAAAACAGAACCAATTAGACCTCCTTAGTGAAGTCTGTTGTCTGTTCAGGGTCTAGTCATCCACAATGTTCATCTTGGTGTAAAAATGCTGTTTTTAGTTTTACTGTGACCTATAATTTGTAGTATTGAGACATAGAATAATCTATAAAACTGTGAACAAAAAACCAAGTTCTTGCCCTGAGGAGATGATCCTATAAAAGCTCAGATAGTGAAATTTGGATGAGATGGAATGGACCAAAAGAAGATCTTTGTCCTTGATTTTCTGAGCTTCAAGCTGAACCTAGTGGCCTCCAAGGGCTCTTTGCACTGAAACATTCTAGTGCACTATGACATGACAGGTCCCATGTGAATGATAACCAGAAAATCATAAGATCACTCTCCCAAAACCTTGCCAATTTACATAGTGGAATGCTTAGATGATTTTGAAGAGGGAAAAATAGAGGGCTTGAAACATTATTATAGAAGGCTGGCAGGAAGAAGCCCTTGGTTGAGTCAGCATGGACTTAAGAGCAAGGTCTCGAGAGCCAAACAGACCTGAGTTCAAATACAGGAATTCCTAACGGATTTTTTTTTAATACAGTAAATAAGACCTTTTGAATCTCAATTTTCTATATGTTAAAATGGGCAATAATAATACCTACTCTGGACAATTTTTAGAATTAGAAAATAAAGTTTATACAAATTGCCTAGGAGCCAATACAGCTACCAGCTATCACTTTCATCTTGGTTACTATTGATATTGTTATTATTATTGTCAAAGGAATTTTGTTGTAGAGGTGGGAATAATAATTTTTAAAAGCTGATGTGTTAACCTAGAGGCTGGCAGAGGAATCAGGCCCCACACATCATTGGAAACCATGACCAAATAAGGAGAGGTTCAAAGACTATAAAGGAGTTTGGAAAGTTTCGGAGCTTTGGTTTACTCTTCTAGAAATGGCCTAAATCCATCAGATCTGTCTTGGGTTTTCTTAGATCCTCTTGGAGTGCTTAAGTTATCCCAGAAATTTGAAAGACAGTTGCAAGAGGAAACATCCAGACCGTACCAAGTGAGAGTTCAGAAAAAAATGAGTGGTCCCGATGTTCTGACCTTTATACCTGGGAAGCTACCTGCTGATCCAGAGAAATGAACCAAGGGCGACCCCCCAGTTGAAGTTGTGCTCACCTTGAGCACCGTGTCTTTAGGCCTGTCACTCTCAGGAAGCTGTTCCAACACACATCTGTCTCTGAAGTTTGCGTGTAAGACTGGGCATAATAGGCTCCTAGTTGATCCAGAATCCTTGCTCAGAAACAACCGTTGGGACACTGAGTTGTTCTCAGGACTTGCAAGCCTACACAGTGCCTTTTTGTGAACTACAAAATGGTGTTCCTCTTGGCAGACAGCAGCACTTGATACTGGCTAGATTCCAGCTTCAAGGTATCTATGGTGCTAGCTGCAATGCTGGTGACTGATTCTCAGATGTACTCTTCCAGTTGGAAGTACTTGAGAGTGCTATCTCTTTCACCATGTCACTGTGTCACCTAGTGGAGAGAACTGCAACATTCCTAACATATGGTCATACATGTTTTTTTCTGATAGGTAGCTAACAATACCTTTCTATTGTTCAATACCTTTAATTGTGAGAATGATCTGCCAGTTAGGAGTTGCCACGTGCTTTCCTGTACCTTCTACCTTGCAGCTGGAGTCTTGCTCTCTATAGTCCACACTCAGAGACTAGACTTGTAATGATGTTGGAGACAGAACCAGTGTTGCTACCTCTGTCATATAGGAGAGGGAGGAGGTTATTACACTCAGGTTTTAAGCTCTTAACTAAAACATAGAGCTATAACTTCTGGCCCAGTGAGTTTGGGGTCTTCCGGTTACTGGTTTAAATTATCATTGTCTTTCTAAATACCCCAGAGTTCATGGCAATCAGAGTAAGTTTCTGATGGCCCAAATGAATGACACAATTGACTTTGAGGATAATAACACAGCCTAGAGAGGGCTTGCATGTTCTCATTAGGCAGAGTCTTACTCTGGTCCCTCTTCTAGGATAGTAACTTAGCCCTCTTGACTCCTTAAAGGGCACTTCCTCTTCATAAAGTAACCTAAAAGAAATAAAACATGACTGGTTTAGAATTACTCAGAGAGTTATATATTTTCCTATCTAGTGCTTTGTAGTCTCCACAGCATTGAATCATTTGTTGGTAGGAAGGCAGGTGATAAGGAAGAGGAGGTGATATTTTTCAGGGAATTCATTCTTCTTCCCTGCAGTAAAGGTGCTCAGGCTGTTTTTTCCCCTTAGGAGGAGCTACATTTAATTTTCCTAAGGTTTTAACTTAAAACTTTGATTCAGTGGCCACCACCTCACTGGGAATCCTACAGAATCCCTGTCTGAGGGCTGTGGCAGTGACAACCAGTTTGAAAATCTGTATTATACTCTATAGGAACAAATCTCCAAGATCTATCAGGGGTGGACCCCTAGCCCAGTGCCAACCACTGTGCCCACAGGCAAGGTCTAAACATGCATCCTGCCATGGGCACGTGGGCCTGATAAAGATTGTCTTCTGTAGCTGATGGCCTTCCAAGGGGTTCAGAAAATAGGTATTTCATAAGATTAATTGGGCTTCTTAGTGTGAGAACTAGGAGTTCCCTTAGGGGCCATCTAGTCTAGGGATTGGCCAACTGAAGGCCTCAGCCCAAAGCAGCCTTCCGTCTGTCTCTGTACTGCTTATGATTTTAGAACAGTTTTTTTTTTTTCATTTTTAAATGTGTAAAAAAATCAAAAGAAGAATAATATTTCACGACACATAAAAATTTATATGGAACTTAGATTTCATTATCCATAAATAAAGTGTTATTGGACTACAGCCACTCCCATTCATTATATATCATCCACGGCTGCTTTTGAGCTACAATGGCCAGGTTGAGTAGTTGCTACCAAACGAAGGCTTAAAACATTTATCATCTAGGTCTTTATCAAAATAGAGTTTGCTGACCCTTGCTTTAAGCCAATGATTTTCAAACTCTTAAACTCAAAAAATCTTTTCTTGTGTAGCCAAATGAAACCTTACAGGAAACCTCAAATAAGATTAAAGTAGTTTGTTTTGTTAACTCCCAGGGATTTGCAGGAACAAAGCTTAAAAACAACTCATCTAGTTAAGATTCCTCATTTTATGGAGATGGTTGTGGCTCCATGGATATTGCATAGGATTTAATAAGAGAACTTGAGCTTAATTTACCTACCCTCTCTGAACCTCAGTTTTCTCTTCTATGCAATGGGAATAAAAATAATATGTATCTCAGAGATTCAGAAAGTGCCACATAGCCTGACAGCCTACAGTGCTGAGTTCTCAAACAACAGTAGGAGAATAGTAGAGTAACTATCCTTTTGTCTGGGTGCATATGTGATACATATGAATCTATGTCTATATTGTATACACAAGCCAAATCTAATAGTATGAACCCTGACGTATATGACTTGAATCAATCAACTGTCACCTCTTCAACCTTGGAATTCCTTAGAATTGGTCACATACATTCATCACAATACCAATTTTCTGCTCTACTGTCACTATTTTGGATTTGATTTTCATTTTCTTAGTATATTTCTCTGGGTTATACAATGTCCTCCCAATGTGGGAACTCAAGTTATCATGCAAATGACAAAGTGCCTAATAGAATTCAGATGGCTTTCAAGAAAATGTTACTCACAACGAAACAGTCTTGTATCATTTTTTAGAAGTGTGTGTGTTAAAACATCTAAGAGTGAATTTCCCCAGAGAAGACCATAACTCAGTAGATCAACCTGGGCCTGAAAACAAATGCGGGGATAATTCCAAAGGAGAACACAGAATCTTTTATCTTTAAAAAAAATTTCAAGTATGGACCCTGATAGCTGATGTTCTGCTCTTTGGTAGGGCGGTACAAGTCATCTTGAAAGAATTTCCTTTGAGTCATACTGGGTGATATGGAAAGTCATTCAAGTGGAGGAATAGGAATTCATTCAAGACCATATACGAGGCTTGGTATTTGCCGGTGAGATTTCAGGAAGTAAAGAATATAGATTGACTGAAAGAAGGAGGCAGCAAGGAAACCAGTTAGACTGCCATCGTAGTACTCCAGGTAACACAGGTTGGTGGCCTGGGTCAGGGCACAGACAGTAAAAATAGTGGAGACCAGATTCTAGAGACATTTCAGAATTGGAGTCAACTGAATTTGGACACTGATGATCCTAACATTCAAGGTTGTCTAAGAACACTGAATTTAAATCAGGAATTCCACCAGACATCAAAGCCTTCCCTCACACTAGGCTGCCTGTCTATCAAATGTCTCTTCATTTTGATAAGGCTCAGATGCCAAGTGAGGACTTTCTCTATCAGGCAGAAGAGTGTCTCTAGTACTCAGCATTCTCTTTGGAGACAAACCCAGTCACTGGTTAGCTTCCATTCTCAAGTGATGAGGAAAGGCAGAATTCCTTTTGGAATTGCCCCTCTCAGTCTCCCTTCAGCTTCTTAGAGCAACTACAGCAGATTAGATATAAAAAACCCCTGTGGCTACCTCCAAAGTACAATCACAGAGGGTACTTCATTACTCATCTCTTCACGTCAGCTCCTAATTGTCAAATGATTAAGGAAATAACTCCTTTATGGAGTTGGTCCATTAATATCTATCTAAGGAAGCTGTCCAAAACAACTGAAATACTAAGTCGCTGTTAAGTGCACTACAACTCATACCTGCTGACAGCCATTGTGTCTTACATTAAACTCAATGGGGGCAAGGACCAATTCTTAGTCCTATGTGATGCATGGCAAATTTTCAGCTGCTGATAACAGAACACTTTAGCTTGGAGTGCTTTAAACCATTTCTCAAACCCATTTCCAGAGAAAGGTTGTCAAGAAGGCCTGTCTACCTGAATTGACACAGGAAATAGGATTTCCCTTATGCTGATGCATAAAGAATTCACATTTTATTTCAGATTATTTTAGCAAAACATTCAGGACTGACAATGTAGGCCCAACTAAAATGTTGACAGCATTGTTGCTCAGTTATTTATAAAAATCCCACCTGATTTGTATGCTCAGCTCTTTTGGCTGCATCAAAATCACTCTCCACACTCTGGTTTAGGGGAAGAGGTAGATTGCTTTCTAACCCATATTGACAGTATTTTAACTCTGTAGAGCTGGATAGACCTTCTTGGGCACATGTAGCCCAGGACCCCTGTGAGCATTCCAGCAGATGAGTATGAGTACCTCCTGTTAACACACACATAGAAGACAGGGCAAGGTCAAGGCCAAGGCCTGGCTAATTCAACCAATAAAGATGCAGGTCCACTTTTAGATACAGATAGTTTAGTACTTACTAAACTAGGCTTGAAATAAAATAAAAGAAGAATTGCCAAAGGTGCCAGCTGACCCCCGACTCTTGTCCCACACACCAAAAAGGAGGATACCAACCAAAAGAGGCCAGATGACTGAAGACCAAGTTATAGGACACACTGTAGCTGAGGAGTCAATTTTAGACTTTGGCTTAGCAGTTGTATAGGCTAGAGTTCTATTCAGTGGAGGGCAGGACAGAAAACTCCTCAACAGAACCTGGGAGGTGATGGGAAACTGTCTCATGATAGCATTCCAAAGGAGATAGGGAAGTGAGTGGGAGATGGCCTTAAAGTACATCTCACAATCTTCTTGTCCTCTCTTGTTCTGGGAGGATCAATGGATGTTCCACCAAGGCTCAGATTAGCTGTGGTTCAAGCCTCTGCTTATGTGGCCTATTTGGATACCTGCAGGTTCTCCAGGGTGCCATGGTAAAAGTGCTCCCCTACACCACCAGACATCCCTGTAAGTTGATAACTACTCCTTACAAGACCTGAGTTTCATATCCTGGTGACCTGCTGAACATAACTCTCATTTACTAAGGTCTCATTGTGAATGTGCTGTCCACATTTAAATTCTAACAAAGGCTGGTAGTATCATTACCATAAACAGAACAATAGCGAATGGACTTGTTTCTCTGCTGGGGTGATGCATGCATGCTAAGCTAGCCAGAGCTCATCATGTAACATGTTGGGTCCAAGGGCACACACATCCATAAGAACTAGCCAATATTCAGAGTCCTCAGAGACCAGTAACTTTCCACTTTGCAAAGCTAATTGACTTGTGTGTGGCTACTGAGTGCACTGAAAAGCTCAGTGTAGCAATAGAGCTTGCACTGCAGTCAGATAGACCCAAGTTCAAACTCTGACTATCTGTGTCACCTCAGATCAAATCCCTTGAACTTCTGAGTGTCTTATAGAATTGCTATAACTATTAAATGCAATATCTCACTTCAAACCCCTAGCACGTAGGAATCACCCAATCTTTATCATCTGTGATTATTGGCTCAAGATAGTTGAGCTTGAATTATCCTGACACATCAGATGTCATTTTATTTGGAAACAAGGCAAACTAGAGAAATGTGTTCTCATGTTAAAGTAAAAATCGAAAGAAGGAAAATAACTGTATATTTGCCACAAATAGCTTTTGCATGCCAGAAACAGAAGTAGATCATGTTTTTAATAATGAGAACCTTTTTAATATTACTATATCAACTTTTTCAAATCTTGAAAATTCAAATCTACCTAAAATGCAACTGAACTATATATCATCAAATATTAATCTAGTATCATTCCAGGAGTGCTGAAACATTTTGATAATGAAATGTCTATTTGTAGAACAAAGCACATCATCAACAAATAAAATGATGAAAACCAGATGATCACCTCAATAGAGGCCAAAAATATACTTGACAAAATTTTATATCCATCCCTCACCCAAACTCTTTAACAGCTAAGTAGAGAAGGATACTCCCTTTTTGCATAAGGAATATGTAACTGCAAACTCTCAATCTAAGGTATATTTTAGTATGTATGGAAGGTTAGATCAATTTTTAAACATATACTTTAAAACAAAAAAGAAACCACAGATGACCATGTTTCAAATGTTTTTAAAAATATGTATTAATGTTGATTCATTGGGTAGACAGAAGGAACACAAACAGACTAATATCATCCAATGACACCATTTGTTCTGATAATTACTCCAATTTAAACAGTTTTAAGGCATCACATATGGCTTCCACAAGGCATTCTCTCCACGTAGGTAGACAAAATTAGAAAATGACATAAAAAGCCTCAGTTTCCATTTCCATGGTTCATAAATTATTAATCTTTTAAAAACACATCACCTTTTTATTGATATTCACAATTGTCTGCAAGCTTTATAAATGCAGAGATGCTTTATAACCTGATTGAAAATTTGATAGTATTGTTTTAACAAAATGAGGATTGTTTTAGAAGGGGCTCCACAATGTCTGGGCATATATTTTCCCTAAGTAACAGTATGAGGCATGCATTTCCTTCTGAGAATTCAACATTTATGTTGATGCACTTGGCTGCAGAGCCAATCCTGCACTGGCTCTAATACAGAGGAATTTTCTGAACATTTTGAGTAACGGGACTGAAATAATTTAATGGCTCCTTCTGTGCATGTTAAATGAGTTGCATGATATATTTAGCTTTTGCAGGAAACTTGTTTACACTATAAATTATAGCACATGGCACAATTACATTGATGTGGAAAGCCAACCATGTTGAGTCATTTTGGCCATCTCTCTCCAAATTTCAACTTGCGGCAAATGAATTCTCTGTAGCTCACCAATATACCATGAGTCTTTCTTATTCCTGTGACCCTGCTGAACACATGTAAGGCCATCATCTTAGCACTGCCACTGACTCATAAAGAAAAACTGAACCGGAGAGGAGGATTCTCAAGAAAAGGGAGGGCCACTGTCAACAAATGACACACTTATCTAAACTGTTCTGTATTACCATATACTAATGAATTAGACAGGATTGGCTTTCTAATTCTGAAACACGGAGATAACTCAGTTGTCTAACAATCAAGGGCTCTGTAATTCAATTTCCTTAGGGGTAACAATGTGTAAAGGAAATAGCAAAGGGTTGGGAGCTGAATAGACTACAGGTCCAGCCTGTGCTCTTGCATTTACCAAGTGTACAAATCTGGGCAAACTAATTGACCTCTCTGAGTCGCCATTTTTTTTTTTCGTCTCTAAAACAAGGCTAGTTATAACAACTTTGGACGGTTGTTGCAAAGATTAGCTGAAATAATATGTGAAAAGAGTTCGTCGTGAGCACTTGATAAATGCCACTGCTTCCACTATTACTGATATTAAGGCAAACTGGAGCCTGGTTCTTATATCAATGTATTTAGAAGCAGCCTTAAAAGAATCACTGTAGAGGAAATCACCAGGTCTCTGGTTGAAGAAAGCAGTTTAAGCAACAACAGAGAGACATGAGAGTAGGTTTTACATATAGTGGATGAACATCTTGTGAAATTGGAGCTCTACTCTTTCCTGATTTGGCTTCAGGTAAGAGGGTGCCAATTCTGAGTACTTGCCCCAGAACTTGGCTATTTCTATCCTATTATTCATAGACTCACCTTCTTGATAGATAGGTAACTAGCTGTCTAGATAGAATCAGAAAGAACTGTAAATATAGATACGTGGAGAATAGCAGACCCCAATACTGGCCAAGACTTAGTATTTAATATCTAGAACTAGGAAATCTATTCAGAATAAAAATGTAGTCCCTCAAATAAAATTGCTCCAATCATCCTAGGAATAACATGTTAGTTCAATCAAAGCACTTTGAACCTTTCACATCACACCTGTCAGATGTACAATTATGACTTGAGGGCTTACACCTTGTCTCTGTCTCACAATAAATCCAAGTCAGCCAATACTAGCTAATAATAACTAAGACTTATTGAGGTAAGCTTAATGTGTGCCAGACATTCATTTCTCTAAGTGCGCTAATGGATCACTTCATTGACTCTCTCCATGAAATTTGGGAGGTTATACTGGTATTTTCTCTGTTCAAGTGAGGAAATTCAGGTTTAAAAAAGTTAAGAAGAAAACACACAGAATGGGAGAAAATATCTGTGGGTCATATATCTGATAAGGATCTAGTATCCAGAATTTATAAGGAACCCTGGAAACTCAGCAATAAAATGATAAGTAACCCAATTAAAGAGTCTGAGTCTATTTCAACAGAAGAAAAAGGTGTCCATTCTTGCTGATCAGAGGTGCACACTGCCTGGATTGCAGACTGCCTGGGTTGCAGCAGTTTCTCCTCTGCTGAGTCTATGCAAGGCCCAGTCCTTCACTGGCTAATTGATTTTCCAAACCATGACACGAGAGGTTAGATAGCCGGGCTCCTATCAGGGCCCTGTACTGGTGTGTAACTCCTGCAGTAAGGCAAGATCCTGTGGGCAAAGACTCTTCTCCTCCTCCCTGACTTTGGAATTTCCAAACCTGAGGGTAGTAAAGAAGGAATCTCTCTGTGCAATGTCCCTCTCAACAGTATAAATCACCTGTCCCCATTCCCAATAAAACCCGAAGGCAGGCATGTGGTTAACGTGGGCTGCCAATTTAGATGAGTTGCTCTAATACGATGTGAGGGCTGAAGGATCTGAATAGACATTTTTCCACAGAAGATACCACTGTGGACTGAATGTTTGTGTGTCCCCCTCCCTCAAAGTCATATAGAGTTGAAACTCTAATCCACAATGTGATGATATTAGGAGGTGGAGTCTTTGGGAGGTGACTGGGTCATAACGGTTGAATACTCATGATGGGATTAGAGACCTTCTAAGAAGAGACCCAAGAGACCTTGCTTCCTTTCATTCTCTTTCTACCATGTGAGGATATCAGGATGAGGGTTTTTACGAGAACCCAACCATACTGGCATCCTGATCATGGACTTCCCAACCACCACTTACGTGAGAAACAAGTGTTTGTTGTTTAAGCCACCCAGCCTATGGGATTCTTGTTATAGCAGCCCAGACTGACAGACACAGAAAGACAAATGGCCAATAAGCAGATGAAAAGATGCTCAACATCATTAACCATCGCGGAATAGACATAAAGTAGAAACAGCACAAATGTCAATGAACTGATGGAATGGATAAACATGATGTGATAGATCCATGAAATGAATGATTATTCAGCTACAAAAAGGAAGAAAGTACTGACACATGGTACAACATGAATAAGCCTTGAAAATATTATGCCAAGTGCAATAAACCAGTCACCAAAGGCCACATATCACATGATTCCTTTCATATGAAATGTCTAAAACAGGCAAATCTGTAGAGACTGAAAGAGACTGGTTGCCAGGGCTTGGGGGGATGGGGCAAGGGGAGTGACTGCTAATGTTATGAAGATTCTTTCGGGGTGATAAAAATATTCTAGAATTAGACAGTGGTGATGGTTTCACAACTCTGTGAATATACTAGAAAACACTGAATTGTATACTTTACAATGGTAAGTTTTATGTTATATGCATCTAAATAGAGCCGTCTTTTTTAAAAAAAAAAGTCTCACAGCTGGACAAGAGAAGAACGGAGAGCTGGTCTGGCAATCCACAGTGGCCTGATTCCAAAGCCCATGTCCCTAACCACTCTGCTTACTGTCCTGCATAACGAAGTACGGCAGAAGGTCTCCAATGCATTCCTAGACATATCTGCCAAGAAAAACACAGAGAAAAAGAGCTATTTTTTCCTGCCTAATCTCTTTCTCACTGTATTTTTTCCCTACATTAAAACTGCAATTGATATGACCAGCAGAAGCCTCACCAAGGGAAAAGAGCTTTGTCTTTTCCAGGAGAGACAAAGCATTATATTAAAGAGACAGCTGTCTGGATGGGGTGGAGACCAAGCCAAGATCCTGTGGGCAAAGACTCTTCTCCTCCTCCCTGACTTTGGAATTTCCAAACCTGAGGGTAGTAAAGAAGGAATCTGTCTGTGCAATGTTCCTCGCAACAGTACAAATCACCTGCCCCCATTCGCAATAAAACCCACAGGCAGGCATGTGGTTAATGTGGGCTGCCAATTTGGATGAGTTGCTCTAATACGATGTGAGGGCTGATGGAAGGAGGCTCACATTTTAGTGATTACAGAAGAAGCTGGGGTAAGGATCATGTTATATATGAATTCATTAAGCACAGGCAAAATGGGACTCTGAATCTATTTCAACAGAAGAAAAATGTGTCCATTCTTGCTGGTCAGAGGTGCAGACTGCCTGGGTTGCAGCAGTTTCTCCTCTGCTGAGTCTACGCAAGGCCGGGTCCTTCACTGGCTAATTGATTTTCCAAACCATGACACGAGGGGTTAGGTATCCAGGCTCCTATCAGGGCCCTGTACGGGTATGTAACTCCCACAGTAAGGCAAATGTTAACTCACAAATCCAATTTAAGTTGGGGCTCCCTTAAGCTGAGAGATAATTTCCCTTTAATTCTCTTCCGGTTGTCTGTCGTCTAACCTTCACAGTCTTGGATATGACACTGTAAAACTGTCCACACTGCTTTTTCTCATGCAGAGGGCATCATCACTGCCCCCCACCCGCTCCCCACAACCACACACACACAGCACACATACTGCCCTCACCAGTGACACTGTTTCCAATTATGATCAGCATTCAGAACTCTTTGGCCACCTTGAACTTGATAGAGACCTTGTTGCTGTCTCCCCCACTGCCACCTTCCATTCCCAGACCTGGCTAAAGGAAAACACCCAGGGAGGGAGGATGCCTTGTCCCTGTGAGATTATGAAGGCCACACTAACTGCAGGCTAGGTCCATGTGTGAAATATTCAGTTGCCCCCTTAGTTTTGAAACCAGGAAGTAAAAAGGGTGTTCCTCTCTCATTCTTCTTGCCTTTTGTTATTTTTAATAGCCCACCTATCAGGACCAAATTGCCTTGTAACTGTCTGCAGAACTTGAATGTGACAGAGATAGCTGCTGTTGTTAATAGGAGCCTTCACTTCAACCCATTTAACAGCTAGTTTGACAGCTTCACAACAGCCACCTTCCCTTGAAAGAAAACTGTGATTTAGTGGAAAGAAAATGTGGAACAACAGCCTGATCTGTCTCTTGGTCTTGAGCGAGTTCTCTTGGCACAGTGTCCCACCACAGAAACAGAGAATGAACTACCATAGGAAAACAAGATGGTCACAAGCCAGGCTTGGTCAAAGATGCTGAGAAAATCCACAGAGCAGAGCTGCTTACAAAGAATGTGAGAGCTGCTTCCTACAAACATTTTGTCTTCACATAAAAAAGTAAATCTGTTTGTTTTTTTCATTACCTTATCAATTGCCCAAGTAGTGGTTGGGCAGGCTTTTCTCAACTTGGTAATTGCAATAACAATGTTATTTGAAAATGACTGCAGGCAGATGACTCTTAGTCAGCTCCCTAAGTCCATGTTATTCTGAGAGATTGCAGAAGAATGGACGGAAGCTCCAGAGTGGTTTTGGGGGTAAGTACCCCTAAATTCCCTCTACGTAGGATGGGACAGAACTGTGCAGCTGATTACTACTGCAACTGGAGGATCGTTAAAATTGCTGCCATTCAGAAAAGGGAAATTCAGGAAATGGGCTTGTTAGGGGGTGAATTGCGTTCCTACCTAAAACTCATACGTTGAAGCCCTAACCCCCAGTATTTCAGAATGTGGTCTTATTTGGAGATAAGGTCTTGAGGTCCTTACGGTGATCCCTAATCCGATATGACTGGTGTCCTTATAAAAAGGGGCAATTTGCATACGGTCACCCATAGAAGGATGAGTATGTGAAGAGACTCAGGGAGAGAGAAGACAGATGTCTACAAGCCAAGGAGGGAGGCCTGGAACAGATCCTTCTCTTACATCCTAAGAAGGAACCAACTCCTTGTTATTGGACTTCTAACATCTGGAAGTTAGGAAGACAGGACATTCCTGTTGCTTTAAGCCTTCCAACTTGTGGTACTCTGTTATAGCAGCCCCAGGAAACTAATACAGGGCTTTGCCCCAGTTCCTACCTTCCCAGCTCTCCAAAATGGGTGGGCTGAGGCAATGTATTTACAGCCCTGACAGCTATAACGCTCTTTTGAGCTCCTGGCACCTAAATCCAGTTCCACCACAATGTTCCACAAATGCCTCAAGCCTAAGAAAGCTAAAACTGAGCTCACCATCTCTGGCATGTCCCTCCTACTGGTTTAAGTATGTATGTATGTATGCATTCCTTCATTTATTTTGTTTTATTTTTAATCTATCTACTTATTTTGTAATAAAATACATATAACATTTATCTTTTAAAATGGACTATTCTGTGCTTTTTAGTATCTTTGCAGTGTTGTCCAGCCATCACCATGATCTAGTTCAGGAACATTTTCACCACTCCAGAATGAAACCCTGTAACTTTTAGCTATCATTCTCCCAATCCCTCTATCCCCTCCACCCTCCATCCCTGGGCAACCTCTAATCTGCTTTCTGTCTCTATTGATTTGCCTATTCTAGATATTTCTTATGAAGGGACTCATATAATATGTGGCTTTTAGCATATTATATTTCACTTAGCATAATGTTTTTGAGTGTAATCCATGTTGTAGAATGTGTCAGAAGTTAATTCCTCTGCTTTACTTTTGCATCTGCCATGGTTTGCATGTTTGTGTCTCCTTCAAAATTCATGTTGAAACCTAATCCCCAGTGCAACAGTATTAAAAGGTGGACCCTTTAGGAGGTGACTAGGCCATGAGGGCTCTGCCCTTAAACATGGGGTTAGTGCCTTATAAAAGGCTGGAGGGAACTTGTTAAGCCGTTTTTGCCATTTTGTTCTATCTAGCATGTAAGGACACAGCATTCATCCCTCCTAGGGAAGCAGCAACAAGGCATTATCTTGGAAGCAGATAACACGTGCTCACCAGACAACTGAACCTGCTGGTGTCTTGGTCTTGGACTTCCAGCCTCCAGAACTGTGAAGAAATAAAATTTCTCTTCTTTATAAACTACCCAGTCTTAGGTATTTTGTTATAGCAGTACAAATTGACTAAGATATCTCTATTGTATTACCACCTATCCAAATTATCAAGCAAGCAAGCTTGATCATTTTAACACTTCTATTCTCTTTCCCACTTCACACATCTTGTCAGTTACTCAAATCCATTGATGGGAACACAGATATCATACCTTTCTCCAGTCTGTCCTCTCTTCTCTATCCCTACCTATTTCAAGCCTTCAAGATCTCTCACTATGGCTTCAGTAATCATTCTAAAGCATAACTTCGGCCAGGCAATTCCCCTAATTAGGATTCTTCAAGGGCAACAGAAGTCACAGTCTCTGAAAATCACTATTGGGATGCATGGAGTCTGCAGATTTTTGTGGCCTTGGGGGAAGAAGAGCTGGGGGAATCTGGTGGTGGTTGTTTTAAGAGTATGTAAAAAGGGTGGTTGGCATTGTGATGTACCAGCACAGTGTATGGCTCTTGGATGGGATCCAGTGTCAGCATCAGAGAATGCTGATGAGGAAGGGATACCAGGCATCCATGGTGAGGAGGTAAGAGAAACCTGGTAGGGCTGCTTGGGACTGACTGTACCCTCTTCAATTGTAGTAGGTGCTTGGTGACAAGGAAAATGCCTTCAGGGGCAAAGAGTGTGAGTAAACTGAGAGGAGCCTAGGCTTTAGGTTCCAGGGTGTGGACAGGAAATCTAAGCTATGAGAGATGGCCTTGAGGAAGTACTGGAAATCCCTTTGTCTTTGGAACTTGGAGTATTTACATAGCCTCTGTAGTGACTTTTTCATTGTGTGGACCTGTGTTCTAGGAAGTCTTCACCTAGGAATTTATGCTGGTGTGCAATCTTGAGAAGTGAATAGAAGACAAAGATTCCAGAGTACCACAGGCAGAGAGGCATGACACAGGAGGCACATGCAAGTATGGACAGGTATGAATGAAATGTTTTGTTTGAGGAACTGGGAATTCTGTTTCCACAGTATCTGAACACATAAGAAGCCGAATGAACATCTGTGTTGCCTTCTTGTACTTCAAGAAGGACTGTTCGCATCAAAGAAAATATTGCTTAGCTCATCTATGTGCATACTGTTGCTAATTATCAAAGGATACTTTTTAAAAATTTCACTATCTAAGGATGGGCTTTATTCTGCTCAGTCAACACTGTGCTCTTCTGAAAGTTGCTCAGGAAACAAAAGGCCTTGCTTAGATAGGAAGCTACCTGGCTCTACCAAACTTAGCCCTGTAGTGAAGGCTGGTAGCATGGCCCTTCCCTCATCTCTTTTACCAGACTGGTGCACAGATGCTCTAGCTATTGTGGGTCCTTCTCCAGGGACCTCCAGGTGGGCCCTTCTCCAGATACTTGCCCTTGGCAGAAGGAAAGCCACTTTGCTCTTGGATGGGAAACCCCTATCCAAATGACGGGAATGCGTTCAGCCAGTATCCAGCCAAACGGCTGGCCCCATCTTGCCTCAATGTGGGACAACTCTGTGATTTGGTTCATGCTCTAGGACTCCTCATGGGATCAAGCTGCAGCCAAGCCCACCATCCCACTTGTTCTCTTCACTTCCTTACAGGTTTCTTTTTCTTTAGAGTTAATTCACAGGAATGCCTATGTCAGGCTCTGCTTCTCAGGAACCTGCCATCCAGCTGCCCCATTCCCACACATGATTTCTACCACATGTGCGTTGTTGATGAGCATTCTTTGAATCTAGTTCTGGATATCGAATCCCTCGGTTTTCCTAGAAAAATAAATGGGCTTAGTCTAGATTTAAGAGCCTCTCCAGCTCTTCAGCAATGTACACCATCATGCTACAGTATACAAAAATCTGTCAAGTTACTAAAAATGACTTTAATCCATTCTTTGAATTCCTTATTAGCACTAAATTGAATAAATGCAAAATAACTACTTTTGCATAATTCTCAACTTTGCAATTATAGAGAGAGAAGCATTTGCAGAAACTTAAAGCATACTTCCATATAGCTCTGCTTAATGTATATTAGAATGCAGCCACAGTTCCTTCAGCATGCTACTCATTTTAGAGATAGCTTATAATTATAAGACACCTTTATGCCCCAGGACATCCAGGTTCTTTACAGACTTTAGCCCTCTCAGGAGGCTGGTGGCATTTTGCCATTTTACAGATGAAGGTGATTATAAACAAAGCATTGAAAAGATGTATTGCACAGCAGGTTGCAGGAATTTGTGCCAGTATAAAACACCTTCTTTGTTCGCTACTAGTGTTAACATCTATAATGTGCTTAGATTGTTTTTCTCATCCTTAATACAGCTTCTTTCTTTTTTTCTTTTTGCTTCTGCTTCTTTAAGCAGGGACAAACAAACCAACATAAAAGTGCTTGTCACTCTACCGTATTGATTGTTTCCTACTAATTACACTTTATTTAATTAAAAATAAAAGCCAATGTATATCCTAGGCAAAGAATCTTACTAAGTTGACAGCTTAGAAATGCGAAGACTGTCTTTGTTTGGGGGCACAAATAATCCTTGAAGGCTAAGAGCATAAGTTTACCTACATTGCTCTCCCCTTATCCTGGAAAGAACAGCTATGGGAGTCAGCAGGGGAAGTGCCATAGAAATAACCTTGTCAATCTCTCCCTGCCAACAAGGGTGCTAATTAGTGCCAATTAAGAGCCTCGTTTTTTGTCTGTGGAACATCTGTCCATAGGCATTGAACTCAAATGCCCAACTCGTTTTATCGAGGCCAGAATTATCAGACAGCAATTCATTTTGGTCCCTGCTAATGGAACTTCATTTTAAACTCAAGTGAAGTTCTGAATCTTGCTCTTCCTAGTCAGGGTCAGCTACAAGATTCCTGCCTACTCCAATCGTCATTCATATTTACCTTATTTTGACAAAGATATGCTTTCATGACATCTACAGTGCACTGGCTAAGAAAAGAAGTGGCAAAGATAAAACCATGGGAGACCCACGCCTCTTGCCTACCCTATGTTCTACACTCTGCCTCATTTTTTAAAGTAATGTATTGTTACCCAGATAAATGGTCTTTGTTTTGTCTTTAAGAAAAAATCCTGGTGGGGTAAAGGCCAGTGTAAAATGGCTTCTTTTTAATTGAACCTATTCTGTGTACACAGTGTGTCCATAAAAGCGCCTCCATCATTAGGGTTTGGTGATGCAAATGAGGGTGCCCCCGCTGTTTCTTTCTCCCTTTATAAAGTGCCCTTTCAATCAATGTTTGGGACAGGACAAGAACCTTGTGACTTGCAGCTTGTTTTATTCTGTGTGGCCACAAGAGGACTTTCATTCATTCTAGGGCAGCTTTATAATGACATATTATCACAGACAGTACCTAGGCTATTCTTTCTACTGCAAAGTACGTGGTAGGTTTTCTGAATTCACCACAGACTAGGAAAGCCATTTTATCTGGCAATGATGCCTTTAATTCAGGCATTTCTCTGAATTCCATTATGAAGCCTTTGTCCTTTCACTTCAAAGTAAACAAACACACTCATTGATCTTTAGAGGGCTATCAAATTTTACTGTAAAACACATTATTGCCATATCATTTTCTTCAGTTCTCTAATAAAGTTATTTCACATTATTCAATTTGTGACCTGCCTTGTACAGTGAAATGTCATGAGTCTTCTTAGAGTGACTTAGAGTCTCACAAGAAGTAGAAAAATAAATTTATTTAAAACATGATGGAGTTCTGACTGCTAACACATTATAAATTGCTCGATTTTAAATGTCTGAACTGGGCATGCTTAAAATACAAGGGCATATTTCATCAACGTTTATACAATTTTTCAGTCGACTTTTCCCAGCGTTTCACTCATCATCAGATGAGAGAGAGCTTGTCAGGAAAAATTACAGTTAATGGTAGTTAATGGCGGCTAAATTCAATGTTCTTGTTTTTATTTTGTTTTACACTTGCTGGAAATAATGAAAGTATTACATGAACAACCCTTATGCTGCTTGCAAAAACACGTCCAGTTCCAGTGGTAGGTAACAAAAAGCTTTATCAGACTTATAAAACAATCTATGTAAATGTATTTTTATGTTTTATTTCATTCTAGCCATTAGCTAGCCTGAGCTAGGAAGTAATTCTATGATATATCTCACAGCAGCAATTTGCTGTACTATGCCAAATTAATCTGCATAAATCTACCTGTTTCTAGGACACTAGAATGGAGTTCATGGGAAAAAAATCTGTTTATATGGTTGTGTTTGTGGAATTTGGGGGAAAGTCAAGCCATTGGTCTTCACCTCAAATAGCAAGGCTCTCCTGCCCAAAAGAAATGCCTGTTATCTATATTAACCATACCACCAACAAAACTCCTAGTTATCCATTGCTAAAACAGAAGTTACAGAGGCAGAGAAGCCTTTCCACCTTTCAGCTAATCTCAAGTCACTGAGTTGGATCTCCAACCAGTTGGAGGAGAATATTCTGTTGAAAATTGTGTCAGTTAACCATTTGAAGCCAATACACTCTGGGCTTTCAGGGTAAGTCAACTGGCAGAGTCAAATTCAACGATTATGCCACTTCTCTTTGAGTTAAATATCTCTCATCAGCCACGCACCAAATGATGACGACTTGCTCACAGTACACTGAGGCTTACCAATGAACACGCAGTGCCACATCAGGGCATCTTTGAGCCCTAGTTTGATACTGGTTAATTGATTTTTCTCTTGGCTTTCATCAGAATTTGGGGAGAAAAGCAAATTAAGGACCTTCCTCCCCAAAGCCAGGTCCACCTGAGGTGGATTTGTCAGCAGAATTTTATCTTACAGCAAACATAAGAATCTTCTGACTTCTAAGAATTTAATTTATCTTCTCTTTGTAGATGAAAATATACATTTCTTCACACACTGCTACCCGGATTCCTAGCATTGTTCCCACCCTACCCATTTTCTCCCTGTGGACAAATAAAATTGCAACAGCAAGAGAAGGCTCAACTAACAGTGAAAAGCATCCCTGCAAAATGATTACCTCAATTTTACAAGATAAGCCAGGTATCTCTACCTACTCTTGGTATTTCCTCAAAGAATAACCATAAATCTAGACTAGGAATACCCACCAGAAGTTTACTAGTATTCCTTTAAATGCCCTTGAAAAAGTACATGTTGCTACTGCCTGGATAATGTTTCAATCTGAGGTTCCCCAGACCTCAGTGAATAGGCAATCAATCAGCCAGATTTTGCAAACATTAAATAAAGTTGAATGGCCACTTCATAGCGCAGGTAACCAAGATAATGGAAAGTGAGTTTAGCTAGATGAGGTGTGAGACCATCAGCCACTTTTCTCCAGCAACTTCCAACCTCAAGGAGAGTACAGTCTTGTAAACTGTACTTTTGTACCAGCCTCTCAGCATTTTGTATTTTCATCTTTGGTATTTTCTGTAGATAGTTCTTCTATTGTCAAGTTTCTAAATTTAACCCTACCCAGTTTGCTGAGAAAAAATATTTTCAAATCATGTCTCTAACACCATACATAAAATAAACAAAAGTAATGATTAATGAGAAACTCTAAAGTAAAATGTTAATTCCAGAAATAAAAATTTCAATATTTGTCTTCATAGATATGATAAGGTAGCTGTTACAATATAGTCCAAATACAATCACTGAGCCATCTCCCTGTGTACAAATTCCAAACATGCGTATTATAAATATTAAGTATATACCAGAAATAAATATAAAAAAATATGTAATTGGTGAGGGAAGAAAGAGTCAACTAATTGGAGCTCATATCTGCTACCCAACAATATTTTGGGTGTTTTCATATTCAATCAAATAATTATCTGCTATCAAGCTTCAGATAATGTGAATGAGATAAGAAATAATGAAAATTATAAATTGCTTGTGTATTCATTGTTGTTGTAAAATGTGTTCAATACTAATGTTTAAGTCAATAAAGTAATTAAAATGATAATTAAATGAAGTACTGTGCACACAGAAACGTATTTGCTTTAAGTGTGTAGATCAGAAAACCAGAAATTCTAGTTCTTGCCAGTTTAACTATGTAGTAAATGCTTCTCATAATAGATCAGTTATCAAGAAAGTGCTTAAATAAAGGACACATTCTTGGCCTTGTTGAAAATATAATTTGGCTGTTTCAGAGGGACTGTATCAGCTCTGGATTACTGGCGTTAATAGAGCCAAGCAGTGCACAGAAAATGAGGGCATAATGGGAAGTCCTTTCCTTTAGACTCTGGATTGTGTATAACGCATCACCTCCTCCCATCATTTTTTAAAAAATATCTTCTTAATTGCATTTTTTCTCAGTCTAATGTTATGCGTGTTTGCATTCTCAAAACACATTCCCACAGAGGGCAGGGGAAGGCAGCCCAGAGCTGGGCTGAGTGGCCTCAACAAGCCAGCTAGGGAAGACACAGTCTGAAGTGGACGATCCACATGCTTAGATTTGAGAGTTGACTTCATTACTGCATTTTCAATAATACTAGCATTCAGAATGGTCTCAAAAGTCACCCGGATAATAGGACTATTATCTCTCTTGGCAATATTTAATAAAAAGCTCTTAAGCACATCCAGTCCCTGGTTTTATAAAACATGGCAGCAAATTATCTCCCAAGAATGTTCAGTGAGTATGCAGTGTTTTTGTCTCTATTCAGCCAGCTTTTCTCTTCACAGTGAAGGAAGATGATCCCAGCCAGCCACCCCGGAGACAACTTACAGTTGCAGGTGGTCTGAGGGGGGAAAAAAAAACAGACAAAAGGCTCCTCACAAAAGAAATCTGGGTGAAAGTTGGTGGAATTTCAGAACACCCTCCATATTATCAATACAAAAATAAAGCCCCCAAAATTTTGAAATACAAATTATCTGTAATTTCACTAAGCTGCCTATAAGGGATATTTGATTTAAAATGTATTTTCAGATGTGGCGGGGCAACTGGAGTAAAGGTGGAGTGAAGATGGCAAGATAAAAGATAATGAGCATCCATACTCCAGGTAGATATTGAAGCTGAGTCTACCTATGCACAAAGAACTCTATAATGGTGTAGTTATCTAGATTGGAGAGGCCCAAATTATTCCACATCATGTTGGTAGAGATTCTGGGAAAAAAAATTCTATAGCCAAGTTAGTTTGAAAAACACTTCATATTCTACACCCCTCTTGTAGAAACACAGTGAGCATTTGCATATTAAAGGCTCAAAGAATTCCTACAATGAAAAGACTTGTTAGTTTTTTTTAACCCGCTGTTTCCCAAATATGTTGGATCATATAATTCCCTTTTTTGCTGAATACCAATTAATATTTCATAGTAACTATTTCATGATAAAGGATTTAGAAAAAGAGAATCTAAATATTTCACACTTAAAATAATTTTGCCTCACACATACACATAATTGATAGAAAAATGAGGTTATTTTCTTTTCCTCTGATTTTATTTGCCTCAACTATTCACATCATTTGCATGGCATAAATAAGACCATATAGCCTAAGCTTCCAAGGAAAGTTGTCTGATATTAATAAGTAACTTTTAAAAAAGCACAGCAGCAACGCAATTTTCAATTAGAAGATGAGTCAGTATACTCAATTTCTCAAAATAATCACTTAGTGACACATACATGATTCTCCCACTGACCTGCTTGGTGGCCACAAATAAACACAATTGGATCTTTTCTTTTTAAATCTTAGAAGCTCAATTTGTTCTCAGACATTATCTGAGAAAATTACATTTTTTAAAAAGTCTGAAATTAATGCTTTATAAATAAAAGACCCAGGATTAACTCTGTACAACCACTTCAGAATTACCTTATGTAAAACCTTCAAAGTTGAAGTCCATGGGAAAGTTAAAAAAATGTGTTTACTCAAGCTGTTGGGGTGAAGCCTTAACTGCTTAGATATATTTTAGGGGCTGCTATTTCTATGCAGAAAAAAAGTGACTTCCCCTAATAAAGTTTCTTAGGAGAGTAGAAAAGCCATATAATGTCAATTTACATATTGCTGTAAATGTTCTTGTGTGGTTTCACCCTCACCCTAACAAAGATTAAACACATTTGTTTTAAAAAGCAAAGCCAGCCAGCACACTATTTAAAATATTACCGTGAAAGCAGGGAGGTGCGTCTTCTGTATTCAAGATGTGCTTATAGTTTCTGGATGCACAGATCTCAAATGACGCTGCACAGCTCAGCCCTAGCTCTTTTCCAGCGTCATTTTGCTCTATTCAAAATGATGATTCCACGTAACATTTTCACATGGGTTGCCAGGGTTCTTTAGAGAATTCATGTTCTGTGAGGTGCTACACCACACTTCCAGTTACTGATCTGTCCATTTTACCTTGGCTGTGCAAACAAAGGCTACATTCCTTTTCAAATGTTATGCAAACTGATCTAATTTTCTCAATTTATTGTTAGATTTTCAGCTCATGGAATGTGTCTGTGAACCAGACAAATTTAAGGGGAAAGAAGGGACTCAAGGATTAGATTCCCATGAGAACAAGAACAAGGCCGTATTTGATCGGCTGCTGCTGAAATACGGCATTTTGATAATCAAGAATGAGCTTTACAGAATTAGCTTTTAGGCAGCCAGTGGCATCTCCATCTCAACTTGTGTTAGCAAAATCTGCTGGACTATAAATAGTTAATATTAAAGACAAGCAAACTATAAACTATCGACTCAAATTTTTTAAAAAAATACTTCTCCTTTTTTATCCTATACAAGTAAGCATCACTTGGCACCATAGATTTGTTACTGGAAAGTGCATGGGATAGCATTAGGAGAAATACCTACTGTAAATGATGAGCTGATGGGTGCAGCAAACCAACATGGCACATGTATACCTATGCATCAAACCTGCACATTGTGCACATGTACCCTAGAACTTAGAGTATAATAAAAAAATAAATCAATTAATTAAAAAAGAATAAACGACATAAAACAGGTAAAGAGCTTAGAATACTGCTTGGCATGTCAGATGTGCTATATAGTGTTTTTAATTTTTAATTAAATATTTTAATTTTTAATTATACATTTTAATAATTTTTAAACAAATATTTGTCTACATTTGTTTTTCTGTTTTTATTTTATTCTTCATAAAAACTTAATTTTTATTCATACAAACTTTCATTTCATTGTATGTAGGAAAATTCCATTTGTTTATAGAAACATGGCATCTTTTTCAATACAAATGTTATATTTCAGTTGTTTATAGTTATTCATCTTTTAGAACTTCTGGATTTCTGACTTAATTAAGAAGGACCCTCTCCCCTAGATTGTAGAAACAGAGTTCCAAGCATTTTTACTAAAGGTATTTTCATTGTTGTTGTTTTATATTTTATATTTGTATCTTTTTTAACTTTTATTTTAATTTCAGGGGTACAAGTGCAGGTTTGTTACGTAGGTAAACTCCTGTCATGGGGGTTTATTGTACAGATTATTTAATCATCCAGATATTAAGCCCAGTAACCATTAGTTATTTTTTCTCATTCTCTTCCTACTTTAATATATTTAAATGTGATAGGAAACTACCTTTGTTTTCTTCTAAATGGAGATCTAGTAGTGCCAGTATCATCATTACATATCAATTTTTTTCTCTTTGAATCAATGTAATGCTGTTGTTACATATTACATACATATATAGGGAGAGAGATTGAATTGTCTCTTCTGTTGATCTAGTATCTATTTTCATGCTAATAATGTATTGATTTTGTTAAAGCGTATTGTAGTTTTTTCATATATCTAGTAATGAAAATCTTTCCTACTGTTCTTTCTTTTCATTTACTATGGTTGAGCATTTACCCTTTTAGTATATGAACTATACAATAATTTGTCTCATGCCAAAAAGAATCATTTTGAGGAATTCTAATTGGAATTGCATTATAAATTAATTTTGGGAGAAATAACACTATAACACTTCTGCTATGAGAACATATATACCTTTCTAGTTCTTTCAAACCTTGTTTATGTACTTCGGTGTTATTTTATAGTTTTTTAATGTAAATCCATATAACTGTTGTGAATGAAGTGGGGTTTTCTTGCATCTCCATTTCCAAGTACTTATTATTAGTTTGAACAAAACGAATTGATATTTGTATGTTGTACATTATAATATTGTGTATTAATTAGAAAAAATACTTTTGCTTTTTTATCCTATACAAGTAAGCATCACATGGCACAATAGATTTGTTACTGGAAAGTGCATGTAAATTGATGTTTTGAAAATCAAACCATATTGTAAATGCATGAGATGAGCTTACTATTTAGAGGGAAACTATGGTGAATCATTTTCAAAGTGAAGGATTCTTTTTAAGGGTGAAAAACTACCTTTTTATCTGTATGGAAATATATGCTAGAATTTCTGTGAGAGGTTTGCTTCAAGTGGGAAAACATCTATATATGATTTTCTTTTTATCTCCCATGTAAAATTGTGTATTATAATCATTCAGTAATAACCATCATGCAGCCAAACTACACCATAATAGGGTGGGCATGTGAATGTGCATTTTCTCTGTTTTCTCATTATGGGAGACTGACATGATTCATCCACTTTACCCCTTGCTTTCCTTTTAAAAGGAGAAGCTATTGAAATTCTATTTATAAGAAACGTTGCTTTGAAATCTTTCCTCATGTATCCCATTTACGTTATTGGAATTAGACTAAAAAAAGAGTTTTATACCACAGGTTCAAATTTGGGAAATTATTTAATGGCTTTAAACCAGATATGTTTTGAAATGCTTTGATGTGCATAATGAACTGCCTTATCATCTCCCCTCTCTTCTCATCCTAATCTCATCAAACTTTTTAATATGGAATTAAAAGACAACAAACCTGAATTGAAACATAATTTGAAAAGTCAAGTTACTTTAGTTGAGATCTAAAATTTAAGCAAGAGCATTGGAGGGTTGAAAGCTTAGGAACACCTCCTATTATTCTATAATTTTTGAACAGGTTTCTAGGAGTTTTGCATAAAACTTATGTGAAGTTTGGTTTTCAAGAGAGTTGCTCTTCCACAGAGGTAGTCTCTTAACTTGGATAAATCATGTTGTTCAGAGAAAGATCTCTCTCTGAAAAACAAAAATCAGTGTATTTATATCCACATAAGTACTCATTTGACCTGCAGTTTCAGGCTTTTATAATAAAAGTGCCAGTAGCAAACACAATGAGTATGAAATGCTAAATTATATGAAAAATTGGAAAGCTATAACTGAACTTCTTTTAATTCTATTTTATAAAGTTAATTTATGTTGCATTCAGAATCAAATTGCTAAAGACATTTCTTTGCTCAGAATTGTTATCTTCTACAACTATTTTAGACCCTCACTTAATATACCACTTAGTTAAATTCCTTACAGTGTACATTTTAGCAAGGGAAGAAAAAATGATTCGTCTATTGGGCCTGAAGAAAGTATTCTTTAAAAAACACACAAATATTTTTAAACAGTGCATATGTACTTTATGGCATTACTCTCTTAACTTAGTGCTTACGAGTATGGGAAACAGTACCTTGGTGAATTATTTTTCATAGTTCACTCAGCAATATGTTTACTAAGCCACTGTTACAACTATGCACTTATATATTTTGATATACAGTGTATTCTACATTAGTGTGTCTTCTGAGATTCCATTCCTACTCTTAAAACCAATTTAAATGTTATTTTACCTTCCCTCCTAGCAAAAATAAGGTTAATTCTCAAGGGTTAATAGTCAAGCCTTATCGTAATTAAAGGCAGAGTCTGAAGTGTCTTTTTAGACCAAGGAAACAGAAGTAGATATGCAGCAACAGGAACAATTTGCCCAGGCAAGGGAATGGAATGTTTATTTCACAGAATGGCAGAGGCTATTCCATGAAATTTTATTGACATGTTTTCTTATTCAGACGACTTCCTTTATGCATGCAAAAACTGGGAATAAAGAAAAGAATTTGTTCCACCTGATTAGAAAATTGACAACATGCTTGTTATATATTTCAAAAGCAGTTTTTCATATATATGTGAACCACAGAATTAAAAATTATGACTCAGCAAATTATACCAGTGGTGATTTTACAAAATGTGAGAGGATGTTTTGGGACTCAGGAGCAGAGAATATCTCTGGCCAAATTCCTGTCCTCCATTGTTTTCTCCCTCTTGTATTCTTGTATTTGCTCCACTACCTCTGAGGAGGTGGTGCCATTTCCCAAGACAATCAAGTCCAGGTGGACTCTGAGATTGGAGAGTCCATGGGTAGGCAGGAGGGCCAGGGTTAAGGGGTCTCTTACTGGAGTCAACCAGACATAAGTTCAAGTAATGAATCCATCATTACTGGCTATAAAAATTTAGCTTCAAGTCATGAAACCCAGTTCTTCATTTGTAAAATGTGGGTAACGGTAGTGCCTACATCTCACTGGGTTGTAAATAGTCAATTAGCTAGTGGATATAAAACACTCAGCATAGTGCTTGGCACTTAATAAGTCCTAGCTTTTATTTTTAGAAATAACTACAAACTAAGAGTACAATTGTGACTGGGATAAGATGCTGTGTTGAGCTCCAAGAACGAGAAGACTGTGCCTAGTACCAAATATCTATACATTTAAGACGTTCTAGCCATTCTTTGTTTTTATCCTCTGGGACTGGGGTAGGCAGGTGAGCCAAGGAAATGTTCAATGTAGTCCAGGTTTGCTCTTTCTGGAGAGGTCTTTCTCCAACTGGAGACCTCTGGGACAAGTCAGGGAAGAGAGTGAAAGGCTTCCCAAGTGACTGAAGATTGGAATGTAGTACAAACAGCACTCACTCAAAAGACTCAGTGATCATGACCGCAATAATCATGAACATGATTAATAAAAGTGTTTATCAAAAAATTCCTACGTACCAGGCACTGTGATAAGCACTTCAATCATTTAATCGTATCATGTAGGTGCTATTACTACTCACCATTTTACAGATGAGGAAACTGAGTGATAGAGAGGTTAAGTAACTTGACCAAGATCACATGGCTAAAAGATGGTGGAGCTGGGATTTGAACCCAGCCATTCCAGCACAGAGCCTGTCCACTTCAAGTTCTGCATTGTATTTGCTTTCCAGCCACATACATATGAGCACACATATGCACACATGCATGCATTTATATTTCTTCTTACGATACTACTTTTAAAATATGGATTAACAAATATAAGAATACAATATTTAAAAAAAAGTTACTTCAGAGCAAGTGACACCTTCTGGATCATTCTTTCACTTTACACTCAAGAATATTTTCTGGTTATCTGTTGTGTAGTAGGTTCTTCCTGTACCGGCTGCTGAAGAAATAGGGGAGTGGATACCACCCCTTCCACTCAGGTAAATAGATTTGTGAAACTATTATGTTCAGGAGAGTCAAACATCCTGCTACCTGTGGTTCCACAGTCCTCACAGGTAGAAGACTGGTGATATGTCTTTGTTGGGCTTTCATGGGCATTGCTTGGGTTTGGAAGTATATCACAATTCAGTCGTCACTATCACAGTCTCCTTAGTACCCACGCTGACCAAACCAAAATGAAGAGACTCGCAAATGAGGTGAGAGGCGATTCTACCCAAAGTCTTTAGATAGAACTACCCCTCAAGGTACTGTCCCACCACTAGGTGGTGAGAATTCCTATGGCTCCACATCCCTCAGTCCCAACTACTTGATATTGTCCAACAGATTTAATATTTGATATCTGTTTTGTGCAAAATAGTATACCAACATTCTCAGAGTGAGAACATCACTTTTGGTCTGAAATTTTTGAGACCTTCAGAGAGTTAAAGAGTCATTTTCTATGTGTGGCATTAGAAGCACAAATCAAAATCCTTTTATAAGAATGTCGAAAAAAATAAAGAAAAGAAAAAGGCCCAATAACAACAACAACAAAAGTCCTGTTATGGAAACACAGATACAGCCACAACTAATTATAAAGCCAGACACACCGTGATGTGCTTGCCTTGGGAAAGACATGCACAAAGGAATTCCTGAAATTGCAAGTGCCACTCACCCTCATGTTCCTGAAAGCCAAGAGACCCTATGTTGCTTGTTTCATTTCCCTGGCTCTGGGAGCATCAATATGATCTCAGCTTTTATGCCACTAAGCAAATCAGTGACTGCTGGCCCTCTTGATCTGAAAGTCTGTCATGCGGCTGCTCTGCATTCCCCAACTTCCCAGAAGCCTGGGCACAGAAATCTGTGGTTTGAAAAAGGTTGCCATTTGGACCCTGGGGCCACTGGGGTTTTTCTGGGATAGATCCCCAGCAGTATCTTCTCTTAGTATCGTTACATCTTTACTGTGTATCTTGGCTTCTTGCCACCGTGAATACTGAGTATCACATTTCTTTCTGAATAGCATAAATTGAGCTGAAGTTGATTTAAATCTCATGCAGAAAACAGCTCTGCTTCGAACTACAGCCATTTTTGTGTTAAAAATCCATCAAGATATAATCTTTTTGTCCCTCCTCCCCAAGACACACAAACTCTTTCTAGCAGATGGGAAAGGCAGATTATTTCAATTAAGAGGCTGTCGCTGACAATTGTATGCAACCTTTCTTCAAAGTTCATGGCAGCAGTGCACTTTTACATTTCTTAGTGACTCTGTCAGGATCTAATTTTCAAGGTACGGTTACCATAGTAGCAACCTGAAATTTTAATCCAGTAGTAAAGGGCAACACAGGTCACCCAGTTTCAGGCCCTCTTCAATATCAAAATTTTAAAGCGCTGCATAAAAGCATGAAGATAAAGGGTAGACCTAGTCCCAAATCCCATTCTCTAAGACAGTGAGATTGTAAAACGTATGAGATTTTTCTAAAGTTTTCAAATTCTTCTACAAGTGCTAAAACTATTACTAAATTGAACAATGTTTCCTTGGGTATAATTGAGTGGAAAAATGCCGTCACTCTTCTCAGCAGCATGAAACATCCAGAAACATGCTGGGGATATCTAATTAGGAGAGGAGTGGCACACATAGTTATTGATTTTAAGTCTATCGCTCTCTGACAGCATTGGCAGTTGATCTTTTGATTTAAACTGCATTGACAGAACACTTTTGAAAAATAATGGCCAAGATTAGCAAAAATAGCACTCAACTAGGAGTCAAGAAACAGGACTGAGCTTTGGCAACACTATTACCTGTGTGAGCTGGGACGCCTCACTTAGGTCACCTGGGCATGACTTTCCTCACTTCTAACATGGAAAGAGAACCAATGAGAGCAGGTGACTGCAAAGCTCATTCATGAGCTCATCTGTTGACAACACAATTCGCTACAGAGTCTGAGTAATATATCATCTCTGTTTTATTATATGAAGAAACAAAGGCTCAGAAAAGCACCAAATAAATTCATCAAGTCACATGACAGGGGAGTGAGAGCGCTGGAACTTAAGCCACTCAGAAATGGATGCCCCACATCTGTGACCTCTCTAGGACAATAATGGCTCCCTCCCCTGTCTCCTTGCTCCAGAAATTGAGTGAAGACCAAATCTAAAAGATTTAACAATATAACAATATATATTATGTGTTATATAACAATATGTGTAGAAAACACATAATGCCAAAGAACTAGAAAGTAGTATTATTAAGATTATTTTGTTATTTTTCCTTCGTATTTAACAATTAATAAGATTTCAGTTGAAACTTTATGTGGGTGAGGCAAACAGGGTATTAAAAAAGGTTTGAATTTTGTAATCCAAGAATCCTGGAGTGAAATTTCATCTCCCTCAACAACTAGCTGTGTGATCTTGAGCAAGTCATTTAACTGTTCTGGGACGAAATTTCCTTCTCCATAAAATCAGTTTAATCTTATCAACCTCTCAGAGACATTATGAGCCTAGAAGGTGATTAAACAAGTGAACCAGTGAAATTGCACAGTGGAAAGAGCACCAAGCAGGCCTGACTTCAAATATGACTACCAGCATTGGCTGTGCAGCCACAGGTGTTTGGCATTCTCTCTGAGCCCTTGAGAGTACAATCCTGGGAGCGATGATAGTGGTGACGATGGCGATGGAGATAGCGAAATCTATCTCACGAGGTTGCTGTGAGCATGAAATAGCTGATGCTTATAAAATATTTCATGGTGCCAGGTATATAGTAGGTTCCAAAAGTGGTGGTTGCAATTACCCAAGAATACTGCTCACATCCAGATTGTTTTCTTCGTTTCTTTCTGTACCATGTGATATACAAAAATTATTTTGGAGAAACCTAGAATGACCCTTTCAATTTTTAGATGGCCTAGACAATTTCCATATATTATGAGGAATAGGTACTTTAAAAGATTTTTCTTTTGAAAAATAGAAAAATATTCTATGTACTCACACCAGTTAGAATGGCTATTATTTAAAAGTAAAAAAAAAAAAAAAAAAAACCAGCTGCTGGTGAGGTTATGGAGAAAAGGGAACACTTACACACTGCTGGTGGGAGTGTAAATTAGTTCAACCATTGTGGAAAGCAGTATGGTGATTCCTCAAAGAACTAAAAGCAGAACTACCATTCGACCTAGCAATCTCATTACTGGTTATATACCCAGAGGAATATAAATCATTGTACCATAAAGACACACGCACACGTATGTTCATTGCAGCACTATTCACAATACCAAAGTCATGGAATCAACCTAAATGCCCATCAAAGACAGATTGTATAAAGAAAATGTGGCACATATATCCCATGGAATGCTATGCAGCCATATAAAAGAAGGACATCATGTCTTCTGCAGAAACATGGATGGAGCTGGAGGCTATTATCCTTAGCAAACTAGCACAGGAACAGAAAACCAAATACTGCATGTTCTCACTTACAGGTGGAAGCTAAATGTTAACAACTTATGAACACACAGAATCAAGCAGCAGATACTGGGGTCTACTTGAGAGGAGAGGGTGTGAGGAGGGAGGGGAGCAGAAAAGATAACTATTGAGTACTGGGCTTTATAACTTGTTGATGAAACAATATGTATAACAAACCCCCGTGTCACATGCACCCCCAAACCTAAAATAAAAGTTAAAAAAAAAGAAAAAAAGAAGAAATATTCTATGTAGTTACAAAATTGAAATCTCCATCTGGAATTTTTATAAAGTGGGCTTCTTATGCCAAAACAAGTAACTCCAGAAATTAGGCAATGGAGCTGTCAGAGTTATAGGTTGCTAAATCGTTAGCTTCTACTCTTCTCTGGATACTTTTCTCTCACTTATTGCTCTCTCAGGGACCCTAGAACCTTTGGCAAGGACAAGGCAGTATACTATGGGGTTGTACTGTAGATCTTCAGTGTCAAAAAACCACAGGGTAGCAAAGAAAATAAATTTTATTCTTTTGGTTTTCAGAAGACCTACCCCAACCCCATCTACTCCATCCCACCTACTCTGTTCCAGTCTTGGCAGCATATTTGTAGATGTCAATCAAATAGCTTTGAGACCTTTTCCTTTTTTGGTCCACATTGTTAAAGTGGGTGGATGAACCACAAAGAAAGGCATTTGTCAGATTCTTCAACTGATTTTACAGCTGTAATTTTGTGTGCATCTGCAGTATTCTACCAACACTGCTCCCTACTCGTCAGTGTAAAATGGAGGGGCTTTAAGCAACTCTGAGAAGGTGTCAAGAGCAGACTATTTAAACCTAACATTCCCAGTAACCTAATTGTGGTAAAGGATCTGGCTGTTTGTGAGATGCTTGATAGGAGGGAAAAACAAAATGAATAGTTCAGAAGTAGATATTTCTTCTCTTCTACTCCAGTCTCAGTTGGATTTTGTTTGTTTCTTTATAAATTCTAAGCATAATCCATGGAGCTTGTCTACACTGCTGTTATATGTTCTTCATCTGGGCCTGGAAGACTTGTCAGGACTCTGATGAGTTCTGGCCCTGCAGCCATCTGGGGAATCTGGGCACAAGGCAGCATATTCTGAGAATGCAGAATCCTGGCTTCTAGTCCCAGCCCTGCCACTCCCTAGGTGGAGGACTTTAGGAAAATATCTTCCCCTCCCTACGCCTGGTTTCTTTTCAATTGGCTATCTAACAGGAATGCTGTGCCACTCACATGGGCTAATGTATTGTGTGAAAGTGTGTTAAAATTATCATTCACTGTGCACATGAAAAGTATCTCTGATCATAGCACTTTACAATGTAATAACTGAAAAAAGAGTGTGCATATGTCTATGTGTGCATCTCATTAGATCAGACATTAGAGTGACCTACTGTTCTGGGATACAGAGCATATGTATGCATGTGTGTGTGTGTGGGGGTGTGTTATCACAACATTACATTCAATTATACAAGTGAATTTTTTTTAACTTTGGTCCCTTGCTTATCAATTTCAGTGCCTTCCACCAGCATTATTTGCTTCACTCCCAGTTACTGTTTAAAAATGCTGAGAAGAATTTGGAAATATGCCGCTGTGGTTGATAACAGATGGGGATATTTTTGAAAATTATTTCACCATGAGGATATAAAGCCACTTTCTAATTATCAAACAAGTTGGTAAGCATGAAAGGCAATGGATGAGTCTCTTATAAAAATAGACCCAAATATTAGTTTTCTCTTCACTTTAATGTGGCACAATGGACATTTCTGAAGGGATATGCCACCAAAATCAATCTTATATGAATTTTATTTTTGTGATGGTCTAAGTCTCTTGCAGGAATAGATCCTTCAGCCTCACTGAAGGGAATATTCTAGAGTCCTGGTGACACAATCTGGATGCAGGCCCTGAGTTGAGGACAGATCTGTCTTCAGTGTCCATGTCAGCATGTGTAGTATATGCAAGACCTAACTCAGTTATAATATTTAGATCTAATACTTCCCCTGATTTAAACCAAAATGGCATTGCCATTTTGGCTTGCATTGTGGTTAGTCCATTTTGGCCTAATGCCTGGGCAAGATCACACCTGACTGCAAATCAGTAAAGCCACCTCCAAATGACTCATGGGATGGCTTTAGTGTAAGTTAAGAGCATATGTTCTGGAGTCAGTCCTGTTCTGCCTCCCTCTTTGTTACTGTGCCACTTTGAGCAACTCACTCAATGTCTCTGAGCTGGGTTTCTACTTCTGTACACTATAATGATGATGAAACCCATGGGATTGCTTGTAAGGAGAAAAAGTGCATGGGAAGTGCCTGGCACATAGTAGGCACTCAATAAGTATGAGTTAGTTGGGTTGCTGGCATTGTCGGTGCTAGTCTTATCTTCACTAGACCATGAATTCCTTGAGACAATGATGTGCAGTGTTTCACCCTGAGTTACCAGTGTTTTAGCCCAGAACCTTACATGTAGTAGATACTGAATGCATATTTGTTGAAAAAAAAAATGAAATCTAGTAGAAAGGAAGCGATGTTTGCCTTTTCCCAGACAGAAAAGAGAGAAGGAGAGAGAGGGGTGGTCAGCGGGGGGGGGGGGGGGGGGGGAGGAGAGAGAGAGACATTTGCTTTCCATTACAGAGGTGTCTCAAAAGCCATCTGAGATACACAAATCTTATGATAGACTTAGGTCCATGAACACCACCACAAAAATCAGATCTAATCTTTCAACTATGATGGCTGAGCCAACCCATCTCTGTTTTCAGCTTTTGTGATAGAAATGTAAATCTACAGCTCTCTTTGAAGGGAGCCCCCATTTTAGATCTTGGTACCCATCAAGCCCCGGCAGCTTCAGTGCTTCTTGATGCAAACATTCCAAATGCCAATATTGCTTGTTGTCACATTAGCCAATATACAATCCTCAACATAAAATCCTCTTGATGTCTGATTACTCTTCTCAAGGACCACACGCTGATTCATTTCAAACTGTGAATTACCTTTAATTCACAGCTTGAACAGGCTGCCAAATTTTGTTTTCTCTGCTCCCAGGTGGCTGCCCCTGATGCAGTGGAGAACTTCCAAAAATATATTAAGTCCTTAGGAAAATTTGGCAAGCTCAGAGATGCAGGGCATACAAGACAAGTTAAAAGCAAGAGTTGGTATACTTCTTGATTTAAAAACCAAAATGTCTGCAACTAGTAAAGTTACCAAGATTACCAGTTTATCAGGAGAGTTAGTTTGGCTTTTATAAGCCTCAAACTGATTAGCAGTATTTTTAAATTCCAAGTACCAAATCATGTATTCTGATTAAGAATTAATCTGATTAAGAAAATAACAGTCATTTCTTCCTTGCCCCATTACACAGTCAATTTGCTACCGAAATTGCATCCAAGTAGCAGATCAAACATCTACATGGGGAAGAATATATGAAATTGCTAGAAAGTGGGTTATTGCTCTGCAATAATGCATTGCAGTTCTTAAATTTCAAATCAAAATCTCGAAGGAAACATTTCCAGTGATGAAGGCTTTGGTAAAAGGATGGCCAGGGTTGTAATGAATATCAATTGTTTTTTAGCAAAAATATTTTCAAAATTGATCTAAAAATAATGTAATTCCTGTATTGGTTATAGCAATCTGGAAAACATCCTCACAGTCTTTCTATTCTCTTTGGTAATGAAATTTTCATAGCACTTACAGAAAACTTTAGAAATAATGACATTTTCATTACATAAAACAATTTTGACCCAGTTTTGTGTCATCGAAAACAGAGCGGTATAATTTCTTGTGGGACTACATCCCACCAGGTTGTGGGAATGTTGTGTCCAGGTACAAAAGGAAAACTTTGGCATACTAAATCCCTGAACTTATCAAATCCCGTGAGGAAAGGCAACTCAGCAGGATGAGAGACAGCTTTGAACTCACAGGGCCCTTAGCCTGCATTCAAACTTTCTCACTGAGGAGCATTATGACTCAGAGGGCTCTTCTGTATGTTTGTAGCCAAAATATCCATTCAAAATAAGTGGGCATGGCCAGTCTGTCTTCCTACTGGACTGTGTACACTTCAGGAGGAAGGACTGTTATTCTAGCTTTACTTTGCTCATCTGTAAGATGGGAATAATTTGGAGCACCTCCACGATGCCTGGCAAGTTTAATAAGGCAATGTACATAAAAGCACCTGGCACCTGTTCTCAACAGCACAATAATTATTATTTGTGTCTGTCATTCCTGTGATAGTATAGTGCCCTCTCTTCCTAACTATTGCTACAATCAAGGATGTCTTCATGTGACATGCATAACAACCACCCACATGTAAACTCAGGCTGGCCTCAACCAATCTGTCTCCATAAGACCTTCCATCAACTCTCTGGATCTAGAGTTTGGATGTTTTAAAACATATAGTTAATACCATAAGTTGGCAAACTGGTTTTATTAAAAAAAACCAACATTATGGCTATATTAAGATTTTATGGAAACTATCCAGGCATTCTCGACAGCATGGTTTAAAACACAGGAGCTGCTCAGTTAAATGGGGGTCTGGATGGTTTCCACCTGGACATAGTCCAAATGCTAACAACCAAGTTTTACAAAGGAGCTTGATATTTGGAGCTGCCATCTCCTCAACAGTCCTCACAAAACTGAAGTTAAGAACTAACTGGATGTACACCCTTGAGTTCATGGAACCTGCCTGAAAGTCCTTTTCGGGGCAACTTAATAACATCTTATCTATTCCTATGTATGATGTCCCATAAAAGACCAACAAGGTCATGCATTTGGGAAGGCCACTGAACTGACAGGTAAGTGGCAAGATTTATAATACACTAGATGAATCAATCCAACTGAACAAAGAAAATCCAAGTTCTTCACCTTGGTTTCTGTTTTCTCCCTCACTGCTCTTTAATAACTTCATTAAGAAACTACAGGTGGCGGGCACCTGTAGTCCCAGCTACACAGGAGGCTGAGGCAGGAGAATGGCGTGAACCCGGGAGGCGGAGCTTGCAGTGAGCCGAGATCCTGCCACTGCACTCCAGCCTGGGGGACAGAGCGAGACTCTATCTTGGGGAAAAACAAAGAAAAAGAAAGAGAAACTACAAAGCAACACAATGTCTGGTGAGTCCATTCACAGTCTGAATCCTGTCATTGAAATAAAAAGATCTCTTTGAGACAGAATAGACAGCCATGATATTACTGTGTAAACATACAACTCCACAGCCCTGAGAACTACAATTTCACCTTCTTATGCCCACGCTTCACCCTCTTTTTTGGGACAGAGACATTTTTGGGGGAGATTAGAAACTCCGTTTGATTAAGAAGACCTAGGTGGGGCCTGTTCCAAGACTGTAACATAGCACAGAATCATAGAGGCTGAGGGGTGGGAGACCAACTTCTGGTCTTTTCTCCTCCAGAAAGTATTAATGATTAAAGTTAAATGTATTTTTATGTTGCTAGATTTAATTACTAAAAAGTATAACTGCTTAAATTTGAACACTGACAAGTGTTTGTTGGTGTACCTGCATGTGTAGACACATATACTCATTAATTTGTTTAATTCCCTTTAACAGACTCTGTCTGTATAGTTTAAAATAAAAATAAATTCTCCTGTGATTTAACCTCATATCTTCTGGATACTAGGTCAGTGCTTTCCCCCACAATAACACAACTGACACAAAGGAGGGGATTAAACCTAGGTCTCCAAACTTCCCCAATTCAGTACTCTTGCCTCATAAGCATTCAGAGTTCCAGCTGAAGCAGGTAGGATGTCATGGCATGAATGGACACTGATAAAAAGCACTGTATGCCAATGCACTATACTGAGAAGGAAAATACCCAGTTTTCCAAAAAGCCAGTCATATTGTTGGGGTCAGGCTCAGAGACAGCAGTAATTGTCAAAAAGAAAGAGGGAGACTGGCTAGTTGCAAGTTTATACTCAGGCACACTGTGGCCAATGTTTTCAGACCTGGTGCCCATGTGTATAGTCCTTATAAACAATGCATACTCCAATGGAAGATCTGCATTTTGTCAACTAGGGAAAACAGGCCAAGATGAGGAAAAGTAATGAAGTGTCCCAGTAATTAAGGGATTCTGTTTTACAAGACTCTAATCTCTCTTTACTGCACTAAGTGTCAGGAGTGTGCTTGGGACACTTTCTGGCCTTGGGTCTTTCCTGCATCACGGCTGACTTACGGGCTGCTTCTCACCAAGGCGCAGGCATTAGCAGTCTGTCTGCACTCAGAATAATCTTAATCACCTGGAGGATTACCCTGCCAAATGGAAAATCCTAGGAGGTGGTTTAAAAAGCACACTGTAGTTAAATGTGGGAGAATGATAGTAATGGCTAAGCCGATAAGTTGGAAGCTAAAAATAAAAATAACTTTATTACAATTCTGATCTGTCCTATGTTAAACCCATACCCTACAGTAAGAAGGGAACTTATTGCAGCTAAAATCTGATGGATGGTGCTTGGACTTTAGATCAAACAGACAAAAAGAGAGGAGCTCATTCATAAAATGGACTCAGTGTCTTCTAGTTTTACTGATGCTTCATATAGAGTATTTTAGTTGTATTGGCTACACTATATATTACTGTGCTACGAAGTGCTGTTCTCTGGAAATGCAGCCTCTAACTATAAACCACAATTGACGAGTTTATTTCTGTTAGTTACAAACTACTGAAACATTGCATTCTATGGTATATATGGAAAGCAGCATATTTCACAGTGGGAGCCTAATACTCTTGCTTTAGGAGTAAGATAATTTTACATAGGAAAATCTATTTTTATATTTTTTTCAAGTTTGGAAACTTGTGTTGATTTCCTAAATGCATGTGAGTGTGCGTGTGTGTGTGTGTGTGTGTGTGTATGTGTATGTGTGTGAATCTTATTGACTTTTTAATGGGGATGAAGTGAGGCAGGAGTGAAAGCAGGGAGGATTAGATCTATTGTTTCCTAGAATAACAAGGGGGAGGGCAATTCAAAATGTGATTAATGGAAAAGCTAAAACATACAGCATCAAAGATGATTTTGATTTTTGTGTTTTCATATAATTCGGTCCTTAAATCGGGATTATGGTTTTATTATCCCCTTCTCTTGTTTTTTCTTGCTTCTTAAAATTGAGAATTCTTGGTTGTTGAAATTGAACTTTGAATTAGAAGGCACAGATCAGTCTAGAAAAGCAAATAAATGGACCAGTGATGGGGTCAGGGCTTTGGGGCTTTGCTACTGCACTGCACCAAGAACGTAGAAATGCCACTTACTTTCTCAAATCCTCAGTCTATTTGGGAGTCATTCCCAGTTTTTTTATGCAATTATTCATGATCTTCCAAAAGGTGAGCAATTCACTTCAAGTGTGCCATTAGGCCACTTGAATGTCATAAATTATTTCATTTTGAAAAATTCCAAGTATGTGCCTATTACACAAAAAAATCGACTTCCATTTTCTATTATTAGGTATGAAAGAAGTTGTGAGAGAAATAATACTCCCTTGATACTCTCTTGGACAAATGGATATTAGAAAATCTACAATAGTTAATATGAGGAAATTGGTTTCTCCAAACCCCTCCTTCAGTTAGCATTAATAAAAAATGAAGACAGTGCTGAATGAATTGCAGGGCCCTGGCTTCTGAACTTCAAACTACCATCATGTAATATCTTATTCCGGCTCTTCCTGGATGCCCTTGTTTGTCTTTAATATACAGGTGCCTGATGACCTGCAAATAGTGAGGTCTTGGGCTGACTGGCCATAGCAATCCACTCAACATTTCATGTCCAATCATGGCTGCTTAGATTCCCTCGTCCATCCTAGTCAGTGGTGACTGAATATTGTGTAAAATAATGTCTTTAGCTGATACTATACAGTGTTTGAACTAGTTAAAATGTGGGAAACAAGCCATCTAGAGATTTATTTTTTCACTGAAATCACAGTTGTTTTCGTATCCCAGGTATTGACCTGGTCTGTATTTACAAACTTAGAGAACTTAATGGTGATCTCATTAACTTTTACTGTTATTTACTTATTATGGGTCCTATAATCTGTTTGTATTACTCCAAAATTAATATGCTAAAATCCTCACCCCCAAGGTGATAGTATTAGGACATGGGTATTTGGGGAGGGGATCATGACATGAGAGTTGAGCCCTCATGAATGGGATTACTGCCCTTATAAGAGGAGGCCTGAGAGAGACCCCTCACCCCTTCTACCATGTGGGATTAGAGTAAGAAAACAGCTTTCTATGAGGAAATGGTCCCTCACAAGATACCCTTTATGCTGGTGCATTGATCTCAAACTTCTCAGGCTCCAAAACTATGGGAAGTAAATTTCTATTGTTTATAAGCCATGTTGTTTATAGTATTTGTTATAGCAGTCCAAGTAGACTAAGACAATGGGAAATTTGATTCTCCCCCCACCCCAACCAAACTACATATTATTATGAGTCAAGGTTCATAGTTTCAAGGAGCAGAGGAGAGAACAAGATTAGATCAGCATTGAGGCACTGTTTCCTTGCCAAATATCCCCAAAAAGGCCTGATTTGGAGATCCAACTACTCACGATTTGAAAGACACTGACTTTGTAGAAGCTCTGGTGGTTGGGTCATTCCACTCTGAAAAGAAAAGATATAAACAATTACTGTTCATGTTCCTACTGTCAAATGATTATTCTGAATTAAATTGATCTCCAAACATGCAGTCCCCCGAGTTACCTTCTTGAGATAAGTAACAGATTAAAAAAAAAAAAGGGGGGGAACCAGTTAGATATATCACGGGACTGGAAGTCATTATGTTAAGTGAAAAAGGCCAGATACAGAAAGACAAACTTTACATCTTCTCACTTATTTCTGAGAGCTAAAAATTAACAATTAAAATAACTTTTTGTTATTGTTGTTCTTTCATGTTTTAATGATTTTAAGTAGGAAAAAGGAAAAAATGAGGGAGCAGAGGACATGGATGTTTGGACTAAGAAGGATTTTCAAAACCACTTACTTTGTAAGGTGAATCCTGGGGTCAGATGCTGCGATTCCTATAAGGAATAATATATATGACACAAACATTAGTTAAATGACACAAGGAGAGTAAGAGGTATATTAATTATTGCTGAAGATATAGTTGACTAATGTTTGCAAATAGGAAGCTGCTGTTAACAATTCCATTAATTAGGCTTTTGTCTATAGCTCTATTTGAAGGATAAACATTTGCCAGCCAAACCTGCTGCAACATGATCATAACTGCCATTTAATCAAAATTATGCAACATGATCATAACTGCCATTTAATCAAAATTATAAGTAAGACTGGTATCTATTTGGAAATGTGTGTAACATGGGAACAAATGACCCATATGTGTGAAATTGAAGTGTATAATTTCTCACTTAGCTGGAAAACGATGCCTCTAAAAGAATAAAGAGGACTTGGTTCAAACAGATGATCATGTTTTTTGTAAAACTGTAAACAAAATGATAATTAATAGATCTGCCCAGTTTTTCCCTTTTATAGAAACAGATCCAACTTTCTATGACACATGTGCACAGATGTACCTCATTTTATATATAAGAAGTGTTCTTAAAACTACATTGCAAGTCTGTCGAAGTATAGAAAGCAATGTGAAATGTTAGTGGACTGTGTTATTTAAAGGAATTTAAATTTGATTTGAAAGTCACACTATACACAATTCATTCACTGTTTTGAGAAATCCAGATTTGCACATGCTGCCTTGCTTGGAGTGTGGCACACCTGTGTGGATACTGACAAAACTTGAAGGCAAAAGCATTACAGTAACGTTCAGGGCACACATGGCACTGTGTGGATGGAAGAGAAATGGTACAAACCGCAATACAGGCATTCCAGAAACTGGAGACAATGAATTCAAGTAAATACAAGAATTAGTTATATCAATCATTGTTCCAAGTAATCTATTTATTAAGCCTAATATTGACCCTCTGTAGATGAAAACTAGGCTCACAGCATTATCTTTTATAAAAAGTAAGCAAGAACTATAACACTTTGCTTTAATCAAAAGTGAAATTTCCCATCTATTTAGTATGATTCTGTTGCTCAAGAGATTTGTCTTCTGGCAAGATCACCACTCCAGAAGATTACCACAAACTCAACAAGAGGCAGAAAAGGCCTCTTAGAGAAAGAACTGTCTGTCACAAAGCCCATATAGTTTGCTGCTCAGAGGCTTCTGTGCTCTCCCTGGTAGAGAACTGTCTTTTGACAAAGGACTCAAATGATTCCCACTCATTTTCAAATCACAGATGGCAAGGAAGGGGAAATAGTTCTAGAGGCACAGGCACTGAGAAAATTGACAGGTGAAAACCAATAGCAAAGGAGCCCACAAAAATGACACAGAAAAGTCTGAACTTAAAAAGCACAAGAATCTACAGTCATTTAATATAGAGGCAAGCATTCCCACCTGTCTTAATAGACCCTGAGAACATAATTGCAGCATAGTATAATATTACACATACTACAATAACTTACACTCATCATAATATATAAGTTATCAAGAAAGAGTAAAGCATGCTTGATATAATCTTTAAAAGAAGTCAGGAAAATATTAATTACACTTCAAAATAATTTATACTGCATGATTCCTATAGAATAATAACCTTCAGTTATCCAATAATTTTAATTATCCAGAACATCTCATTTTCCAGAGTGTCAAATAAATGACTTGTTAACCATGTATATCTCTGTAACTATATACAAGTATTTTTATCTGTTACTATTTAAGGGATTTCATTACAAAGGTACAGGATGAGTTTGGGCTTGTATACCTCCAGGAAATTAAATGACAAGTTCCAAAGTCAATTAAGCCAAATATCTGATCAGAGAGTAAAACATGCAGGCCGTCTTTGTACTGGTCTTATGCCTGAATTTTTAACCTTCCTCCAAATGTTTTGGACTTTACACCTAAACAATCAGTTCTTCCAGACCATCAGTGCAACAATGCATACAGCAAACTGGAAGATTGTGTTATTCACTGAATTGGAGTAACTGATATTTATTCTTGATACAATTTTTAATGTTAAACTGAATTTCACACTTCTTTTTACTTTATTTTTTAATTTTTAATTTTTTGGTACATAGTAGGTGTAAATGTTTATGAGGTACATATGATGTTTTGATCATTATGCATTGGATTTCACATTTCTTAAACTACAAATCAAATCAAAACAAATGAAACTCCTTTGTATATCACCAAAGTTACTTTACATACATATCCAGCCCCAGTTGGAAATAGCTTGGTTGTAGAAATAATCTGCACAGTTCTCACAGTAATTGTTAATGCACAACAAATAATACAAATTTATTTTAAATGCCTGACTTTGCTTTATGCATTTCTTTCATAGACATGTCATATATGTAATTTTTGCAGTAGAATATAATGATGCCAAGTTCTTTTCACAAACTTATATGAGGTTCTTTTAAGCAATAGCCTTGACAATAATCCTAAAATCAGAAGTTCCTAAAGGATCTAGATTATAGAGCAAGGGTCAGCTAACTTTTCCTGCAAAGGGCCAGACAGTAGATGTTTTAGGCATTGGGAGACATACCATCTTTGTCATAATTAACTGGACTCTGCCATTGTAGTGTGAAAGCAGTCATGGACAATGCGTAAATAAGTGGGTGTGACTGGGTTCCAAGAAAGCTTGATTTATAGACACTGACATTTGAATTCCACACTCATGTGAATATTATTCATAATAACATGTTATTTTTCTTTTGAAAATGTTAACCCTTTAAAGATGTAAAAACCTATGGGCCATAGTTTGCCAACCTCTGTTCTAGAGGATGTTTACCTCCAGGAAAACTTTATTAAACTTCTCCTGAGGATATGATTATTCTCTCAATTCTACTTGGCATGCACTTACTCCCTTCCTTGTGAGGTTTTTCATCGTCTATGAGAAAACATGGCATTTTCAATTTGAAACTGATAAGTAAGCTTAAGTAAGTTGAGAATTTTCAACTGTATTTGTTTTAGTAAGCTTACAGAATCATCAACTATTTTACCTAGAAAATCCATTGGGATTATATAGTGTATACACATACACACACACACACACACACACACACACACACACACACACACCATGCCCCAACACAGATGGGGAAACAGAGGTTTAGAGGAACTTGAACAGGACCACACAGCAAGCAAATGGCAGTGCCAGGATTAAAAGCAGCTGGGAAGGCAGCTCTTAAGACAGCACTCTTTCCTCTGGGCAAGCTCTGTCATGGATGTAAGAAACTGATGCTTTCTGAAAGGATGCTGTCACCTAATTCTGGTGGAAGCACTGAGGAAAGGGAAATCACCTTTGTTACATATAGGGATGGCCATGTTTTGGAAGATAGAATTTGAACTGGGGCATCAGTGGGCCTGTGTGATAAAAGATATACAGAGAGACAGTATGACCGCTGGTGCCAGGAACACCTGGATCTAAGTACTGGTTCCCTTATTTATTAACTGGATAATCCTGAGCACATTACTTAACTACCATGTTTCCTCCTCTGTAAACTGGGGTAGTAAAATTACCAATCTCTTTGGGTTGTAGTGGGGATTAAATTATTTACTATATATTAAGTGCTTAGAATGACGTGAGGCACATGGTGCCATTGTATGTGTTGGTTGTTATTTAAAGTGTACTTTTCTTTCAAACCAACGTTTTGGCAGGAATCAAATGAGACAGGAGTGGGTGTGTAGACTTCTTGCTTTCACCATTTTAGTCCACTTGCTTCTACCTTTGTCATGGGGTTGATGGTAGCACAGATAATTGGCAGAAAATGCAAACTGTGCCTGATTTCAAAGTGTGCACTTAACTATAAAAGCCCATTTAAACAACAGTTCTATTGTATACACTTGCAAATGTCAAAATTGCAACTTGCACAAATTATCTTCAAAACTGGAGAACCCACCTGAAAACACTGCAATTGCTGTACAAGTGTTGGACCTGAACTGGATGGATAACTCCCTTTGCTGGAGATGCCAGGGGGAAGGAGAACAGAAGCCTAAAAAGGGTGGGTGTGAATGCAAAAAGGAATAGCACACACCCATACTGGGACAGTGAGATTAGCTGTTCGTTTAGTTCTGACCTCTTTCATAGGTGAAGGAAGATCATTAAGCAAAGTTTAGATCAGTGTTACTTTCAAAATCATGACCCTAAAATCTAAGGGTTTCTCCTTTGGGTGTTTCTCCTTCTACAAATAAAGTCCAAACTCCTTGAGGTGGTATCCAAGGCGTTTTCCAAATATGCACCTATTTGCCCAGGTTTCCTCTCTTTCCACTCCCCATCACACAAACTTTAATCCTGCCACTTGAGACCTTATATCACCATGCACTACAGCATGATCCCTCATCTCTCATGACCTTGCTCACACTAGTCTTATGCATGCGGTATTCTTCTCTTGGCCCCTTCTTCACCTGTCAGAGTCTTAATCATCCCCTAAATGTTTCCACCTCAGTGGTGAGCACTTCCTCAACTCCCCAGGGGAGTGTTAGATACGACTCTGAGTCTTGTCTTCTCTATGAAGACATTTACTACATTGTTTTGTGATCTATGTGATAGCATGTAGACGGTTTTTCTTCACCCCTACCTTTAAGCCCACTGTATCTTCTCAGTAAATGATTTCTGAATAAATGGATGGAAGGAAGAAAGGAATGGAGGAAGAAAGGAAGACATTATATATATTTTTAAAGTATGTTAGAATAGCCATGTCTAGACATTTTAAAAAGTGATGGCAATAAAGCAACTCTTGCTGAGAGAAGGTAAATAAAAATAATATTAAACATTTGACAATAGAACTGTAGAAGATAAAGCTCTGTCAGTGTGATGTGGTGTTTTGTAAAGATCTGTCTGCTTGTGAGCAAGAACTGGAAGGTGATAAAAATGAAAATCAGTTCATTAAAGAGTACAGGTTTTGTAACTTTAAAATCTTGAACGTTGCTGTTCCATCATCTATTTGATATTTCTTAAGGGATGAGTTATTCAATCTCTGTCTCATCTGTTCTAGGCACAGCGACTTGGACAGTGGCAACACCCTATGGAGTAAGACACGCATGCCGGTATCTGTGTGTATTTTGTTTTAAAGACTCACTTTCAATAAAAATTATTTTTATATTGCTATTCTGAGGGGCAAGAGAGTCTAGATTTTATGGCACTAGAAGACCAAGGCCATTTTTGCCACTGAGAATCCAGTTGGAAGATTGGTATAATTAAAATAAGACAAACAAAAATGCAGGAAGGAAGAGAACTGACCTGTCCTGGGATGGAAAAGGTGCTCTGCTCAGAGTGTCCAGCAGTATGCATGGAAGTGAGAGGAGTAGGCCAGGAATGGGTCATCTCCTAATGAGGAAAAATAAAGAAACTTTATTTCAGGGCAATTAAAAAATCAAGCCCTTTCTTAGCACTAAACAGTGTAGGTCCTTTATAAATACTAACTTAACTTAACTGACCTAATACTTAAGGTGAATTTAAAGTCATTTGGACCATCCAGCAGATGCTTGCAAACTGCCAGTGACAGGGAGCTTGCTACTGCTTGAAGTAGCCTGCTCCATGTTGAGACAGCATCATCAGGCTATTCTTCCTTTTTTGTGAGTTAAAAACTTGTCCCCCAGGAACTTCTACTTATAGACTGTACTTTGGAGCTGCACAGAATGCATCTTCTCCTTCTTTTGAATGACAAGCCTTCAGTTGTTGGAAGATAGTAATCCTATCCCCTGGCATCGTCTCTTCTCCAGGCTGAGACATTCTCAGCTTGTTCATTCATTTATTGGGAACCTTCAACTTTTCTTCTAATGCTCAATTTCTGTACACTGTCACTATTGTTGGTGCTTCCAGGAGGAACTCCAGATTGCCTGGGGCTCTTGTAACTCATGGTATCCTGTTCCACGTGTGATCTGTCAGCTCAAGGGAGGACAGTACTGTCGCTGCCTTCTGATACTCATCTTCTCTTGATACAGCCCAACAGTTAGTGACCCATGATGCACATACTGTGGGTTTTTCCATGCAAAGATGAAGCCGCTGAGGGGAATTCTTTCTCATTCATAGAGAAGGTTACTATGTGATTGGTAGCTCGGTTCCACACAGCCATACACATAGACAGTGTATCTGTGAGTTCAAGTCTCAAAACAGGAAAAGCCCCTTAGGCTCCCACCCTGTGTTATCAGCAGGGACACCCTCTCAGCTCTTTCAAATACTCAGTTTGAAAGAGGTGCTGTTCAAATCTTACTTGAGTCTTAGGGCATGTGGCCAACATGCTTTACGCTAAGAGCAAGGATAATTGAATCACATGCTCAAAATCCCAGCAACAGAAAGATGATAAGTTTTGTGAAGCAGGAGGGAGTCAGCATGTGTTGGAGTCATCATTTTCATATAGAACCATTAAGCATTAAAAAAAAAGTCATGATAGAAATAAAGTAGGGATTTGGGGAAGGATGGAGGGGATCAAAATTTATGAAAGTCTTTTTTAATGAGTAAGTTACATAATACTTGTTTTTTTCCAGTCTTTATAAGTAACATAATTAGTCATTTCAAAGGTAATATTAATAAGAACTCTCAGGTAGCACTAAAACAAGGTTTTTTTCCTTCTATAATTACTCAGTTCAAAAAGAGTCTTTGATGTATGAAGAGCTGTAATGCAAGGAGATACTTCACAGATTCATTCACAGTGGCACTGCTGAAGCAGAATTTGTAAGTATTATTCTGACAAAGATTGAATTTTACCTAGCACTATTTAAAAAGGAGGAGGTAACTACATTAAAAATGCATACACAATTTAGAGGAGATGCTTAACCTACTTAAGAGATAGACTACTTCCAAGTGTTTTTGAGTTGTGCATTTGTATCCAGTTGATAACATTCATGACAAATCCTACTCATGTATTCATCAAAACTGGCTGCAAAGTAAATATATGTGACAACAGTAATTCTAATTACTCTGAGTTTTAAAAATACTCAGTGATCTCTTTTACAATTTAGATGGTTTTTCCTGATTAAGACTGGTCTCCAAAATAGTCAGATCATTTAAAATATATAGCTTGGGATGGGGGAGCTGTTGGTATAAGAGTACAAAGTTTCAGTTTGAAGGAGTAAGTTCTGAAGATCGGTTGCATAACATGGTGACTATAGTTATTAATAGTAATAATGTACTGTATACTTGAAAATTGCTAAGACAGAGTTTGAATGTTCTCACCATAAAAAAAGTATGTGAGGTGGACTGGGTATGGTGGCCTGTAATTCCAACACTTTGGGAGCCCGAGGTGGGTGGATCACGAGGTCAAGAGATCGAGACCATCCTGGCCAACATAGTGAAACCCCGTCTCTACTAAAAATACAAAAATTAGTTGGGCATGGTGGTGCGCGCCTATAGTCCCAGCTACTCGGGAGGCTGAGGCAGGAGAATCGCTTGAACCTGGGAGGTGGAGGTTGCAGTGTGTCAAGATTGTGCCACTGCACTCCATCCTGGTGACAGAGCGAGACTCCATCTCAAAAAAAAAAAAAAAAAAAGTATGTGACGTGATGGATATGTAAATTAACTTGATGTAATCATTCCACAATGTATATACATATCAAAACATCATGTTTTACCCCATAAGTATGTACAATTTTTGTCAATTAAAATAATTTTTTTCTCAAAATAAATAAAATATAGTTCATATTTAGCCAGAGTCAATAAAACAGCAGGTAAGTCTCTTCCAGAAAAAGGAGTGTTGTCTGTTTTCAGCAACTACTGGGTATGCCTAAATTGATTAGAGGCTTAGTTTTATCCCCTTTCACCACTGATTTTAGAGGTGTGCCTCTGGGTTTATTAAAAGGTGTTTCAGACACCGGGAAGAATAAAGTCACTTCTCAAAAGTGTACCTTTTCCCCTAGGTTTTCTGTATTTACTCGGAGGCAGAATCTGATTATCTTGAATTACCAGTGGAGTGCACTGCCCTGTTAGCTAATCCACATGGAACTGCACAAACTTCTACATTTTCAATTACAACTGATTTCAAACTGTATTTGAAAATGTGAAATTTCATGAAACAGCACACTGAGTCCATGTTACCACTGATGCATTTGATTACAGTAGGCAGGATGTAGTTGAAAGGAATATAATTTCCTGAAAGAATATCTTCCTCAAAGGACTTTGGAGCAAGCAAGCTCTTTCACTTCTCAAAATGAATTAGACTTGTAAAGTGTGGCACACTCACAGCAGATATTCCATTGTTATCCTTTTCATTAACACTTGAAGGATATTAATCTAGTTTATGTTCTTGCTATTCCTAAGATAAGACACCTATGCATTCTTACCCAACTTTACTAATCCTTCACCCAGTCATCAGGTAGGGATGAGCCCCTGCTCCCAAAATGTTGCCACAGCTTTATAACAGGATCCAATGATGAGTACCTGTACACAACACCAAGAATCACTTCTCTTTTAACAAAAATAAGTTACATACACACACACACACACACACACACACACACACACACACACACATCTGAGACTGGTCTGAACTTCCACAAGGAAGCACTGCTTTATGTTTGGGATCCTTTGATCCTTTGAGAGAGAGACAGAGAGAGACAGAAAGCAGGGATTCATATTCCCAACGGGCAACTGAGGTAATGGGGGTTCCAAGAGGTGAGGTCACTTATACACAGCCTTACATTTAGTAGCAAGTGAAGTTTGATTACTGGTACAAGAGTGCACACTTTCCACTATAACAAATATGTCTCCCTCTGTAAGACTGACTAACATGGATAATGAAGAAAAGACTAAGGAATACTGTTTTATCTTTTAGTATTTGGCAAAGAATGGATTTCATAAGTGATAGAGCATTCTACATAACTTCTAATAATAGGAAGACACTTATATTAATGTGATATGAAGACTCCAAAGTCAAACCCCACAAAATCACAAAAGGCTCAATTTTCCACCATATTATCCAAACAATAGCTCATGGCTAGGACTCAAAACAAATCCAAAACCACTTGCAGGTATCCTTGCTTTGCCCAATTTAGACACGAAAGCTGGGTATGCCACAGGCTGAAGGACAGAAGACAGTCTGTGTTCCAGGCTTTGCTAATCTCAAATGGATCCTGTACTCATCTAACACACAGCTACCTGAATAGCTGTTATCTCAAGTAACTAGTATGTTGTCACAAGCCTCACCTTATTCACCTTTGTATCTCTCCTGCCTAGTGTGTAGTAAGTAATTGGTTGGTCTTTTTGTACCAGAAACTAAACAGGCAGGGATTAGCCTCACACCCTTTTCACAGACAAGGAATTGAAGCACAAAGAGGTAAAGTGACTTGTCCAAGGTCACACAGCAAATGGCAGATCTGTTTGGTGGATTCTTTGCATTTGTTCTACTAATTTTTTATTTTTTATTTTTTTTTTTTTTGAGACAGCGTCTCACTCTGTCACCCAGGCTGGAGTGCAGTGGCGCCATATTGGCTCACTGCAACCTGTGCCTCCCAGGTTCCAGCGATTCTCCTGCCTCAGCCTCCCAAGTAGCTGGGACTACAGGTGCGTGCCACCATGCTAGGCTAATTTTTGTATTTTTTAGTAGAGACAGGGTTTCACCATATTGGCCAGGCTAGTCTCAAACTCCTGACCTTGTGATCAGTCTGCCTCAGCCTCCCAAAGTGCTGGGATTACAGGCGTGTGTAGCCATTATAAGCCAGTCACTAGGACATGGAAATGATAAAGTCAAGGACCTCTTTTTGAAGCGTTCACTGCCTGACATGCGAATCACCTTGAGAGGGGAATGAGCAAAGGTGCAGAGAATAAGGTGGTGGGGAAAGTCACTGTGCTAGGCATTTGGAAAAGGCTTCAATAGTTGAAGTGAGAGGAGCAGTGTTTTTGAACACACATGTGTGTTTATGTGTGTGCGAGTGTGTGTGTGTATCCCTTTTACAGGCTATCATTATACTTGGCACATAGTAGCTGCTCAAATAGTGTGTTTAGGTTAAGCATAAATATTAAGGTACTTACTGTAAAAGAGCTCAAACTGAAGAGATGATTAGGGCGATTTTTCAAATGACCACCTTAATGAATGCAAATGATGATGATAGTTCACATATTTCATTGTTGTTGTTATAGTCAGAGAGAGCCCCAAAAGCAACATGGACTAAGTATTAAGATAGGGAGAACTTAACTCAAGCCTAGCTCTGCCAAAAGCTATGTGGGTGGCCCTGGTCAAGTTGCTTGTCCATTCTGGGCCTCAGCTTTCCTGCTTACAACATGTGGGCTTTGACTTGGATGGCTTCTAGTTCTCCCAGTTAGCAATACCGTTCATCTCTGATTCTACCTGTTCTGCCTACCTCACAGGCTTGGCATAAGGGGAAGCAAATGAATAATTGTGTAAGGGCTTTGTAAACCATATAGTGTTGTACACATTCAAAGCTCATTGCTACCAGCCCCACAGGTATGGCTATGGCATTGTCAGTATGAGCCTGCATGCCTTGGCTTAGCAACCAGGCAGCTTGGGATCTGCCCAAGGCTCAAGATGGAGCTTGCATACACCTTTCTCCCTTCCCTCTACTAAAATACCAAGAACGTAATAAATGCAATTTTGGAAGTATTCACAAATTCTTGTGATTAAGAATAAGCGTGAATAGCTGAGTGGCTCAAATAAAAATATGGTTGAATAGAAGAATACATCTGCAAAATCGGGTTCAAGTTTATCAATATTTTCACAGGAAATCAGAAGTAAATGACTCACAAGTCATGGTAACTGAGTCATGGTAACTAACCTTGGTGTCTGACTTCCATTGGAGGGGCCCTCCCTTCCTTGCTTCCTTCCTTCCTCCCTCCTTCCTTCCTTCAGTTTTTCTTTTCCTTTCTTCTTTTATTTTTTAGTTTTGCTTTACAGATAGTGTACTCCCAAAAGGTATCCTACTGAGTAGCTTTACAAATCACCACAGACTAAGGATGAAGAAACATCAGCATCTTTCCGTCACCAAAACTAAATTAAACCTGAAAACATTTATGTGAGTGAGGTCTTGTTATTAGACTGCTGAATCTGTTTCTTTATCTAAAGGTCCTTATGCATTTACAAAAACACATATGTGTGTGTGTGTATGTGTGTGTGTATAGAGGAGGTGTTAATGACTTACCAGAAAAACCTAATTTGTTTGAATGAATGATTTAGACCCTTTGTATCCATGGTTCCTGACAGTTCTGTGAGGAGCCAGAAAAGGGGGAATGAAGCAGCTAAGCACCAGGATGCAAGGGAATAAGGCGCAAGTGCCCTTAGGATGCCTAGAAAGGGCTGCCCTGGGGCTAGGGTTCAGGAGAACAGCAAACAAATCCTTCCTTGACCTTCAATCTGCTATCAATTGCTAACCAGCCTGTAGGATGCTCTGCTCCTCCCTGATAGGAGAGCAAAGCCAGGCAGGGCATTAGCACCCTTATCTGCAGCAGCAGTGGGGGTGTTAATAGGAAATGGACAACAATAGCAGGAGTAGGGTTAAGATGGGTGTTGTGGGAAGTCAGGGACCCCAAATGGAGGGACCAGCTGAAGCCATGGCAGAAGAACATAAATTGTGAAGATTTCATGGACATTTATTAGTTCCCCAAATTAATACTTTTATAATTTCTTATGCCTGTCTTTACTGCAGTCTCTGAACGTAAATTGTGAAGATTTAATGGACATTTATCACTTCCCCAATCAATACTCTTGTGATTTCCTATGCCTGTCTTTACTTTAATCTCTTAATCCTGTCATCTTCGTAAGCTGAGGATGAATGTCGCCTCAGGACCCTGTGATGATTGCGTTAACTGAGCAAATTGTTTGTAGAGCATGTGTGTTTGAACAATATGAAATCTGGGCACCTTGAAAAAAGAACAGGATAACAGCGATGTTCAAGGAACAAGGGAGATAACCTTAAAGTCTGGCCACCTGTGGGCCGGGTGCAACAGAGCCATATTTCTCTTCTTTCAAAAGCAAATAGGAAAATATCACTGAATTCTTTTTCTCAGCAAGGAACATCCCTGAGAAGGAGAATGCATTCCCAAGGGGAGGCCTCTAAAATGGCCTCTTTGGGAAAGTCTGTCTTTTTTTTTTACAGTTGTAGATAAGGAATGAAATAAGCCCGGGTCTCCCATAGCGCTCCCAGGCTTATTAGGATGAGGAAATTCCCGCTTAATAAATTTTGGTCAGACCAGTTGTCTGCTCTCAAACCCTGTCACCTGATAAGATGTTATCAATGACAATGCATGCCCGAAACTTCATAGTAATTTTAATTTCACCCTGGTCCTGTGATCTCGCCCTGCCTCCATTTGCCTTGTGACATTTTATTACCTTGTGAAGCATGTGATCTCTGTGACCCACACCCTATTTGTACACTCCCTCCTCTTTTGAAAATAACTAATAAAAACTTGCTGGTTTTGCAGTTTGGGGGGCATCACGGAACCTGCCGACATGTGATGTCTGCCCCAGACACCCAGCTTTAAAAACTTCTCTCTTTGTACTCTTTCCCTTTATTTCTCAGACAGGCCGACACTTACGGAAATAGAAAAGAACCTATGTGAAATAATGATGAATTATTGGGGGCAGGTTCCCCCAATAGATGGGCCCATGGAGGGAGCCACACAGCCATTTGTAAAAGGATTCAGGGGGCTGGATGTGATCTGCACAGGCTGCTGCTCCCAGTGTGGTGTGCCAGAATGTAGCCAGGCTGCTGTGCAGCCTCTACAGACACAGGAACTTACCTGTTTCTCCTACTAGGCCCCCTCAGGCAGGCTTCGGAAGGACAGGGGCCCTTTGCTCAGGGTCAGGGAGCTTGGCTGTTCCAAACGAAATTCCCTTAGAGGGAAGTAGGGCATGTGGGAAGAACTACTGATCTTTTTCCTCTCAGGGCCCTCTCAGAGTGCTCTCCTGGATGTCCCATCTCAGTGGGGGCATGGGAATACTGCAATACCTCTAAGGGACAGCTATCTGAATGGTAAGAGCTTGGAAAGCTCATCTCATGTATACATAGACATTAAAGAAACAGGGAAAGTTTAGTCCACAGAAAAGGGAGAGTGAGGAGTGTCTTTAAATCCATGAAAGTCTTTCACATGAAAGAGATTTGAGACCTGCTTTGTGGACCAAGAGTTTAGGACTGGCTGTATGGGTAAAGTTATCAGGGGACCAATTTTAGCTCAAACTACTAAAGAATTTCCAATCATTTGAGGTTTCCAATCATGGAGCCTACTGTCTTAGAAGGCAGTGAGCAGTTCATCTCTGAAGGCGAAATGTCCTCTGCCTAGAGCAGTGAAAAGGGATTCCTAAAAGGTGGCGGAGTGGGTGTTGTGAATCATCTGTACTGCTTTACCTAATCAGATAATCATACACTTTACTTCTGTAAAGTCAAAGATATATATGAGAAGATGCAAAACTGAATCTGGAGCAGTTGTTTTGCATGACATATAAACACGGCTGACTAAATTGACTAAGGAAATTTGTCATTCTCCCAGGGATGGGGTGGGGGAAACATGCTGAGGGGAGCCTATTGTCTCACAGTGAGACAGCTAACAGCCCAATTTGTCTGATTGTTTGCTGAACTCTTAGAAAATCTAACAACAGTGGAACCATAGACTTTCCTAGGCTTGATCACTAGCCATTCCTGCCAAGCTTTTCTAGTGGTCAAAACTCTGTTCCATTCAATTGAATGAATATTCTTCTATTTGGAATGCTGTTAAGACAGTCTCCTGAGATTGCTCCTCTGATTTCCATGCAAGTGCTCATAGAGAGGAAGTGTAAAATCAACGGTTACATTAAACATAACTTCTTGGCCATGGCATAACAATGGGTCAATGCAAAATGCAATTCTTTTAAAAGTTTCTAACACTAACTTATGATTTAAATGGCATGGTATAAAAACCCTGGCGATGTTTCTTCAAATAAATAATGGAATTCTGTATTCAAACTCTTTAGTGCTGGCAGTTGTTTAAGGGAATCTGGAAATATTCTCCTTCGGATCCAGGAGGAGAATCTGTACATGCAAAAAGTTCAGCTCACATTGGCTGCCTTCATCCTGGCAGCCCCCAAACCAGGGTTCCATTGAAAAAGAGCCCTAATTATAATGTACAATTGGGAAGTATAGTGATCAGTATTCTGAATCTCCACTGTGTACTCAATCAGGCAATCAATCAAGCCATCTTCTTGCCATTGCCAGATGCAATCAATTCCATTTCACCCACTGAATACAACAGGAACATATATGACCATGTGCAGGGCCTATTCATGCAACTTTTTTTGGCCCAGTTACTCCTCGGGCATTCTACATTCAAACACTGCAAAGAAAGGTCTCCAAAGGTAAATACAAGGGAACAGAACACTATAGTGATATACTGGGCAGAATTCAACCAGACCTTTTTAGTTCAGCAAAAGGTTTCAGCAGCAGCAACCTCAGGCCACGGCCCATCCAACTAATGGTATTTGATTCCCTAAACACGATTGCCTTGTAAATTTTAATCTTTATTAAGACCTTTGTCTTTGTCTAAATTAGGTTGAACCAGTCAGAATAGAAGACTGAACACCCCACTAGGAAATGTTATCAGATTGAACAACACTGAATTGTTTGCCTTGTTTGGTACAGGCAAAATTAACACAATATCAAAGCTTAGAAATGTAAGAACTGGCCACTGAGAAAGTGTTCTGCAAAGAGCAGTATCAAAAAGGGAATCAAGGTAGAGGGCTTTTTCTAAGTGGTCCAGTTCAGGTATGTGAGGATTCTGGGGTTTCTTCAGGGCCAGTTCTTAACATTTCTAACCCTTGAAATTGTTTCTTACATTCTTAAGCTAATTTTGACATCAGATCATTGTAACTCTTTTCAAAAGTGATTTTTAATTGCAATGTTGAATTTCCAGCTCTTCTGTTTCAAATTATTTTGCCGTCAACTACATCCAATGACCATCACTTAAAATATACTGATTTGAGATAATTCGCGAGGCTTTCATAATACTACAGCCATGTTTTTTTTTTCCTTTCACAGTCACTTCAAAAGATGGAATGACATGCTATATCCTCACAGCATGAGATGTTTCTTAATGGTTACCTTCCAATTTGCTCCTTTAGCACCAGCTCAGGCAAACCAACTTGATAAAACTCACACACTTTCATTGGCTTCTCCTCCAGCAGCATTTCTAATAATCTATATTTAATTTCATTCATTCAGAAAACATTTATTGAGTGTCTACTCCTTGCAAGGTATCTGACAGCCAGGAGGCTAGACTAGGTCCCGGTACAGGGTCTGGTGGTACTCTCTGTAGCTAGAGTATTGATAATTGGAATGAGAGTAAGGTAATAACAATTACCAGTTACCATTCGAAGTAGAAATAAAATAAGCCCATCAAAGTTGATTTTTTTTAGAGAATAATGCACAATTTGTTATATGTTTCAGAAATTGCCAAAGGGATTTGTTGATTTCACATTGTTGGAGAGATACGGTGTCAATGCAACAACACAGCAGTCCTTTAGAAAGCCAGCTTATGCTATAAGTGAAAGGTACTAGAGAATGACAACTCCAGGCAAAGGGGGGCAGAAGGATACATTTCACACAATCCTCAGTCTAAGTCCTTTCAAAGAAGTACACAAGGCATGTTAGTATTCCATTTCTAAGGGCTGCTGTAGCTTTTCAAACATGATAGCTTTCTTGTAGTTTACACTTATCACGTTAAGAAAAATGGTAATGAGGAGTTCATGACAACTACTTTTAGAAGGGACAAAGGCTCAATTGCTGGGGAATAAAGAAGTAATATCTATTTTCGTGGAAAGAAGCCTCCAGTTAAGAACTTGGCTATAGCTTTGGTCTCTCATTATTCCTGAGGTCAGTAAAAATAAGGTACCAGGCCGCTAATACAGCTGAAACTCCATCCAATATGATTTGCATGGAATTGTCTTTCCTCTGAAACAGCTATTTCAATCTTAGAATCACAGTGCCAGGGGCAGGAAAGAGAACTGGTTTGTCCCATTCACATGAAATTAACTAACAAATCTATCACAAGATGTCAGTCTAACTACTGAACACCAGGCCCTCTCTCCCGCCCCCCATCCACAGATACCCCTCAATAAAAATAAAAATAAACCAACAGAGGTATCAAATTCCTTGCAGTAGTCTGAATTTAACAACATCAAAACCACTACTAAGTCACAGTGAAATTGATTCAGAAAGCCCCCTCCAAGTATTCCAAGCCCCTAATAGGTTGAGTATTTCTGAATGCCTGGACTCCTCTCCCCAGATTCGTTTTTCTCTACAATTCCCCAAATAACGGAAAATAAATAGCATCTGTATTCCATATTAACAGTGGCAAAATCACAGCACAAGTGAGAGGCATATCTTTTTCTAAAAGGATATTTGACTGATGAAGAAGGAGAACTTTCTAAACTCAATATGAACACTGGGGGCCAGTGGTATGTACAAAAATGTGGCCCCACAGGCACGCTATAAAGCTTCAATTCTATTTTAAACCCAGGAAAGCAGGTCCCTCTCTGCCTTGATATAAACAGCCACTTGCCAGCATAAGCTACAAGTAGCTATTGATTCATATCTGATATTTTATACTAAGTATTTGTTAAACATCAATCCAATCTGATTATTGGATTTCACTACCAAGTCTTTTTTTTTTTAATTAAAAGGTAACAATCACACAAGAAGACTATTATAAAAGTTTCTTTTATTGATAGTTTCCCATTGACATCTTTTAGGGCATCCACATTTGTACTTCAAAACATTTACTCACCATAAGGAAGGGGTGCATTCCAATTACCCCCACCCCCCGCCCCTTGCAAGCTTCCCTAATAACCCTCTGAGAATCCACTGCCAGTGGATGTCTCTAAATCCTCTTTAAACCTCTACCTTTTTTTTGGCCTAAAACATCTTTTTGGGTAACCAGATCAATACGTTTACTCCTGGCTATAAATTTAGCAAAGCACCAAATAGAAGATTCAAAGGGAACAATGTCAAACCCTTACCTAGGAAGGTTTCAGTGTGCAAATGAAACATTGGTCTTGAAGTAAATAAATAGCTCAAGGAGAACTCTACCCCACCCGCAACACACTCACAAACCTGGATCTCTCAGGCCTGGGATTCCAACTGTTACTTGTAATCAATTTGTAACTCTTGTCCAAAAGCCAGTTGGCAACCAGTGCCACAGCACGTTGCCTTCCTACTCCCACCCCCACCACTGCCTCCTGCTCATCTAGTCTCTCCTTGATTTGTATTAAAGAAGGAAAGAAATGTGCAAAATGATTTAAAAAAAAAAAAAACCCTGGTCAGAGATTTGCAAGCCACCCACAGAGACTGCTATACAGCTGACAAAAACCAACCGGGCAGGGTCTCTGGGCTAATTAAACAAATTTGACAATTTGAAAAGCTGCAATGTGCCTTATGAACTATGGAGTGGTCAAAAATGAAAAAAAAAAACTACTCTATTAAAGACATGAAAGGAGCTTACATATTTAATATTCAAGAAAATCACAGGGGCAATCTAAACTCCTTGGCCAAATCAGATAGAGAGTCTGTGAAGGGTCGAAATATGAAATTCAAAGTGACCCTTTGAAAATATTTGGAATTTCTGAATAACAAGAAGAGTCACAATAACAATCCAATAGGAGCTTGTATGTATTTGGGGGTTAGAATTCACTGTTTCATTTATGTTACCATATTTAATCCACTCAATAATACAGAGAAGTAGTTTTTCTTGTTCTCATTTCATAGGTCAGATAACTGAGTTTTGGAGACAATGTCATGCAGCTCAAGGACCTCTGCCCAGGTGTCTGGCTTTGAGCTCTAGGCTTTGGGCACCACCATACTCCATAGGACAGGTTTTCCAAAAGGGAAAACTCCAATCATGTAGCAGGAACAAAGCTCCCTCACCTTTCTGGAAGTCCATTATAATTTGGTGGTTATAAGAAGTACATTATCATCATTTTGTGTGTGTGTGTGTATGTGTGTGTGTGTGGTTTTAGAGATGAGGTCTCACTCTGTCTGTCACCTCAGAGTGAGTAGTGTGCAATGGTGTGATCGTGGCTCACTGCAGCCTCCAACTCCTGGGCTCAAGCAATCCTCCTACCTCAGCCTCCCTGAGTAGCTGAGACTACAGGTGTGCACCACCACACCCAGCCAATTAACTTATTTTTATAGACATGTGGGTCTCCTTTTGTTGCCCCAGGCTGGTCTTGAACTCCTGGTCTCAAGCAGTCCTCTCACCTCAGCCTCCCAAAGTGCTGGGATTACAGGCATGAACCACAGAACCCAACTTATAATTGTTTTGAAACCACTGCCCTTACTCATGCCACACGCAACCCAATGGCAAGTGTGAGGGTCACACAATCCAAATGGCAAGTCAGTAAAAATAAGCCGATCCCTAAGGAGAGGCACGAATTTATTAAATTTCCCTTGTCACCAGAATGCATTCCAAGTAATGGCTTTTTATTCTCGAACTTTATGGAGGTATAACTGACAAAATAAATTATTAATATATATTTATGGTATACAATGTGAGTTTCTGATGTATGTATACATTGTAAAATGATTGCCATAATCAAGCTAATTAATATGTCCACCAACTCACATAGCTACCTTTATTTGTTGTTTAAATGTTGTGAGAATATTTAAGGTCCACTCTTTTAGTAAATTTTGAGTATATAATACAGTACATCTTCAGAATTTATTTACCCTACATAACTGAAAGTTTGTACAATGAATGGCTTTTCTCAGGACTCAGTCCATTTTAACGTTAATAATCCAGATCTCAAGCCCCTGTGCAAGGTGTAGGTAAGCAACTCCCCTTAATGAAGAAATGGGGCAATTAAAGCCACTGGAGCTGTCCAAGTGCTGCTGTGGTACTTCCTTTAATGATGCACCTTAGGTGGATGTCTAAAGAGATGGAAAAGCTGAAGAGTGCAGGGAAGAGAGAGTGAGAGAGGAAGAGAGAGAGAGAGAGAGAGAGAGGAAGCAAATATGAATCAATTCCTGGGTTTTTATAGTACCATTTCTCTCCTAAAAGGGCCATTCAACGGTCTGATGTACCCTCTTATTTCCAGAGCCTAGGGATGAAAGCATTATTAATGTTATTGAACATAGGGAAAGACACTTTGTCTGAGGCCTGAGTTAGGAGTACATGGGTCCCTGCATTGCCCAACAAACCAGGCGTATGCCTGAAACTTCTCTGGTCTTCTCTCTTTTGTGGGAATACTTGCTGTATCTTTTTCTACCTACTCAGACTTATTTTTTGTTCTGTCTTATATAGTAGGGGCACTGCTCAGAACCAGAGTTGAATTTGATCAATGTATTGTATATAAGACTCAGGAGGAAATAAATTAATCAGATATACTCTAAACACAGTCTAGAATACACAGTCTAGAAGGTAAAACAATATTTGATTTTATTTTATGATAAAACTCAGAATAAAAACCTAGAGCAAATCTGAAGAGATATCTGGGGCAGTTCTGTTCACTGTATCTTTCTACAGTGATGGAAATACTGAGTTTTGTGTTGTCTAATATGGCAAACACTGGCCACATGTAACTAATGAGAACTTGAAATGGATGAGGAACTGAACTTTTATTTTGTTAAAATTTAATTAATTTAAATTCAAATAGCCAGCCACATGTGGTTGGTGTTTCTGTACTGGAGAGTGCAAAAAATTCAACACTTTACAGATGGAGAACCTGAAGCACACAATGGTTAAGAGACTAGCCAAGGGTCACAGAATAAGGTAGTGGCAGGGTCAGAACTAGCTCTGAGGTCTCTTGATGTCTGGTCCAGTGTCACTGGCACATTGTTTTCATCTTAATCCCAGTTCTTTCAAAGGCCGATGCTGCATGGTCTCCACTCTGTAACACAGGACAGGAGCAGACCAGGCTCTAACATCAGGGTGGATTCTCCAGGTGTCAGACCTGCTATTCACTTTTGCATCAAAAGCACTAGGGGTGTGAGGATGTGCTGGGAGCTCCTGGATTAAAGAGCAGTGAGGAGGCTGCAAAGTTGGAGGATAGACTAGCTTTTCGGGTATCCTCTGAACGCAACAGGTCCTGAGAAGTAGTAAGGGAGTTCAATAGAAAATAATCAGAGGCCCAGACAGCCAGGATGCTGTTTTTACACCTTGGTTTTAGATTGGCCTTAGTTATTTATTTTATGATTCTGCAATTTCCAGTTAACATGTTGCCAGGAAAAGAGCAGGATGAGTCTGTTCGTGTTAGTGTGTTCATTCCAATAATGAAAGGCTTTGGGGAATGGAGTGTTTAATGGAAGCAACTTACAGGCTATCAGCCACACACACACACACACACACACACACACACACACCCTGGAGGAATCACTTTAGGGAAGAAAACACATCTTGTGGAAGCTCTTTTCTTGTGATCACAGTGATAATAAGCACAGTGAATAGTGCCAAAACATTATTTGAGAGATTTGAAAATCTCTCCCATTGTAGTAGCATATGGGGCCCTGTCTTTATTCAGTACCTTGTTTACACTGATAATGCTAGCATTATTGTATTTTGAGGAACAATATTAAAAATGGACTATAACAATGGTATTAAATAATAATTTGCAATTGAGGATGTGATGACTATCTGGCTGCGACATCTGTTACCCCACTGAACGTCAGGTTTGATTCAACTGATCTGGCTGGCTAGATGGGTGTCATTTCTCGCTCTTACCACTGCTTATCTATAGAGTTGAATCCTTCTTAGGTCAAAGGTATAGGAGCAGCTGTGCTTCCCTGCTACAACCTCCAAGCAAGCTCTCACGGTCCATTTCTAGGAGAACATAGGGTAGTCAAGTTTCCAAGAATCCAGACACATCTAAACGATTGGAGCTGCATGCGGCATTTTGCCCTTCTTAAAAAGAAATTGGCAATGGAAAAAGCACACAAATGGTGATAATATATCATTTGGAGAAATAAGAAATGGAGTCATTAAAATGCCTAATATTTGTATAATTATTCTACTCAATAAGCACTATTATCTGCTTATTAACTTGTAATATTTTCATGGAAAATCAAATCATTATTGTACCTTGGGTGGAAATAACACTATGAGGTCATTTTCTCTAACCATTCCTCTAAAAATTTAAGTCATTTAATAAACACATTACATCTAATCTATGCACTTTTTATGCACCTACACTTGTCACCTTTGTGTGCATGTATGTGGGGGGGCCTTCTGGAATTGGCCAAAGAGACAGAATAAGGATTTCCACACAGACTATGACCTAATGGACCTCACATTCTACCATAAGAGGCAACTCCCCAACATACACACATACAAAGGCCAAGTGTAGATATATAAAAATTGCTATGGGGACCTAGAAGACAGATAGAGAAATTAATTCATTAATATCTGTGATCTCTGTGGTGGATCTTACATGGTGTAGATAGGAGGTCACCAGACAAAGACAGGAGTGGATGAGATCACAGGCAGAGGGAGGGGGCAGCACACAGAGGCAGAGGAGGAGATGGCACATTTGATAAAGGGGGAGAAGTCTGCAGTGGATGTGGAAAAGGGCACACAGTTGGGAGAATTGGCAATATGTGAGGTAGGCATGAGTGGTGACATAAAGGAAGGACTTTGACTGCCAAGATCTGGGTTTGGAAGTTTATCCTCTAGGTACTGGGGGAGCACAGTGCCTCTATTGAACACTTTCAGTGACAAAGACCTCACCTCCTTCTACCCTTGGACAGATCTACCAATTAGAACAGGGGAGAAAGGAAGGATCTAATTGAGTGCTCCAAGCACTATTCCAGAGGTTTCATATGCATCATCTCATTTAATTGTCCCTATAATTCTGAGAATTAGGGCATATTATCTCACTTTTGTAAATGAGGTACGAAAAGGTTAATTTACCCAAAAACATTCAGCAAGGGAGAAGAGCTGAGCTCTACTGTCTTAACCATGATGCCCCACCCCCCAGAACATTCTTGCTTGTATTGCCCTAATACTTATCCCTCTATAAGTGCCCCTCAAAAGTTGGATTCCACCATTTGAGGCCTTCTATCCCAAATGCAGCCTCTGAGTCTCTTGCTTCCACAGGGTAGTCTCTCAGGCAGCCACAGCCTGCTCCCTCTTCTAGTTCAATTTTCTGCTGTTTAATCTAGTCTATCTCTTTAGACGTTCCAGTTTGGAAACTACCCACTATCCTGGTTACTCTTTGCTAAGTGCATTTTAGTTCAGCAATATAACTCTTAAATTGTTTTTTCATTTTTATTTAAGTTCAGGGGGTAAACATGCATGTTTGTTACATGAGTAAATTGCCTCTTAAATATTTTTATGAAAGTAATATAAATTATAGAAATTGAGAAAATATAAAAAAGAAGAAACTCACCCATAATTCTAACTCTAACAAAATAAGAACTATCATTTCAAAATATTTTCCTTCAGTTTCTTTTTAGTCATTTTTTATAGAGATATAATACTTAAGTACATAAAATGTTATATTCTGCTTATTTCAGTAAACATTATCTCATAATTTTTCCTCATGTTGTTACATCACCGGCAAAGCCATCTTTTTAATGGTTGGTTATGATTCTGAATGTATAAATCTGAGTTTGCTTAACTATTCTCCCACTGTTAAATATATAGTAGCATTTTTTGCTATTACAAAGAATTGTGTAATGAATAATTTTGTTCACATAGTTTTTCTAGGAGCTTGGATTTTTCTCATAGCATGAATTTTCTAAAGTGGGATTATAAATTACCAGTGTCCCTCTAAAAATAGAGTAGCCAACCCAAATAAATGGAGAGGCACATTGACCACATCCATGAGATGAAAGATGCACACAGTAAAGGTGTTAATTCCCTCAAAATTGATTTATAGATGTAATGCAATACTAGCCAACATTTAAGCAGAATTCTTTGTAAATATAAATAATATATCTAAAATTCATATGGAAAGGAAAAGGAACTAGGATAGCTAAACCATTTTAGGAAAAGAACAAAGTTGGAAGATTCACATTATGCTATTTTCAGACTTACAATATCTACAGAAATTAAGACATTATGGTATTAGTGAAAGGTCAAGGACACAGACAAGTAGAAGAGACTGGAGAGTCAAGAAGTAGACCCACACAAATATGGTCAATTGACTTTTTACAAAAATGCAAAAGCAATTCAATGGAGAAAGATTAAATACAATCTTTTCAATAAATCGTGCTGGAACATAATGTAAATCTCAACCTATACCTCACATCACACATAAAAATTAATCCAAAATGAAGACTTAAATAAAACTCTTAGAATAAAACATGGGAGAATTTTTTTGACCTTGAATTAACCCAAAAGTTCTTCGACTTGACAGCAAAATAATAATCCATAACATGAAACAAAGATAAATTGGATTTTATCAAAATTAAGAAATTTTTCTCTTAGAAGGATATCACCAAGAGAATGAAAAGACAAGCCACAGCCCGAGAGAAAATATTTGCAAATCACATATCTGACAAATGACTTATGTCCAGAAACAATAAAAGCTCTCAAGATTCATTTATAAGGTAATAGACAACCTGATTTAGTAAATGAGTAAATGATTTGAACAGACACTTCATCAAAAAAGATATACAAATGGGAAATAAGTACATGCTGAGTAAGTGGTCTTTCATACTTGGCTGGTGTAAGTGCAAAATGGTACAGCCACTCTAAAAGCAATTTAGTATGGTTTTTATAAATTTAAACATACTCTAAGCATATGACTCTGCGATCCCACTCCTAGGTATATTCCAAAGATAAATGAAAACATGTGTTCATGCAAAAATCTGTATATAATTATTAATACCCACATTATTCATAATCACCAAAAACTGCTTGGTTTGAAATTTTGGCTCTGCCACTGGTTAGCTGTCAAACTTAGAAAGTCACTTAAGCTCAGAGTACTTCCACATCATTATCTAACAAGGGGATGATAATAGTACTTGCTTCTCGGCATTGATATAGTGATTATATGAGTTACTATATGTGAAATTCTTCTAACAGTGCCAGGTACAAAAAAATGCTAGGTAAGTGGTACTACTATTAGTATGTACTTTGGGTTCAGGCCAACATGAGTTCCAATTCTGTGTTAGCTGCTTCATAACCATATGAATATATGATTCGGGGCAATTTTCAACCTCTCTAAGGCCTCCAGGCTGTCATCGACCCATTAGCCTGTGGTCTCTGGGTAATGAAATAAGCACTGCTGGAGGAAATTATATAATCTACAGATTGAAACCTGTATAAATATAATATCTTCAATATCACCTGGAGCCTTGATGTTGCCTCATAATCTTACTATATTCCCTTAGAGTGAGAGACTTCTCTCTCTTTCAATTACTCTTTCATTCTCCAGTCTCCTCTAACCTCTGAACTTTCCCCTGACTGCTTCTTATCCCTGCCATCTAATTATGAGACTTGATCGGAAAATTAAAAATAAATTAAAATCTTCCATATATACTTCTAATATTTTATGTTTTTGTTTTTAATCTTTAATACATCTAGAAGTAATGTTTTTGTATGGCGTGAGGTAAGGATCCAAGATTAACTTAGGGAGAACACAAACGTCTGTGACATTGTCTTCCTTTTCAGGAATTGTATGCCTTTTTATTGAAGTATTCTTTGGCATCTCTCATAGTGACTTAGTTTGTTTATACAGCTCTGACACAATTCTTGTTACATCAATTCATAAGGTGTAAAAGGATTTTTTTGCCCATTACATCTTATAGTTGCTTGCTTTATATGTAAAGACTATTTTTTGCCATACATTTATTTTGCACAGAGCAACTTGGCTGAATTTGTGTATTATTCATAATAGTGTTTTCAGTTAATTTGTTTCTGGTTTCCAGGAAAACAATATATGTATAATGTACAAATAGTAACCATTTTAAGCATTATCTCTCACTTTAATGCCTCTTATTCTTTACATATTTAATTGTCTTGGCTAACCTCCAGAAAAACATAAAATGATAGTGGTATAAAGAACATCTAGTCTTTTTCTTGACTATAATGAGAATGCTTTGAGAGTTTCTCCATGAAATGTGATACTAGCCTTTGGGTTAAGGTGGATATATTTTATCACATTAAATATGTTTCCACTTATTTCTATTTTATCAAGAATGTGTATTCAGTTTTGTCAAGTGTCTTTTATCATCTAAATGAAGATGACTGTGTAATTTTTCTTTTTTTATTCTCTTTGTAAAAGGCATTATACAAATGGATTTCTTAACACTGAACCAGTTTTACACTCCTGGAATAAAACCCACTTGGTGATATTGTATATCCTTTAAAGTGCTGTCTGATTCTGTTTGTTAGTATTTCATTAAGGAGCTTTGCAACAATAATCATAAATGATACTATTATGCAATTTTCTTTTTTGTGTTCTATTTTTGTCAGATTTTAGTATCAAAATAAAAGCTAGATTGGCTTTTCTAAAAAGTACTTTGCAAATTTTTCTTTTTGTTCTATGTCGTGTAAAAGTTATACTGTCATATTTTGTGAAAGTTTAGTTTAATTTCCTCACGAAATCCCATCTGGGAGTGACGCTTTTGTTAAGGGGTGGGGAGAGTCTTCATTTCATTGATGGCTATAAGCCTGTTTAGATTTTCTGTGTTTTCTGGAGTTAATCTCTGTCAATTACATTTCACTAGAAAAACCATCCATTTCATCCACCGGTTTATATTTATTTGTACAGAGCTGAGAAAATTGCTACTCATTATTCTCTTAGTTTTCTCTGTATCTGAGGTTATTTCTGTTTATTAGTTCTTGTTTTATGTATTAGTGTTTTCCCTTTTTTCTTGATGGCGTTAAGTAACCAAGTATCTATTTTATTGTATTATTGTTTTATTTGGGAAAAGGATCTTGAATTAATTAATTATAATGATTTTCTGTTCATAATTCATTAATTCACACCTCCTGATTTATCTATTTTTTAAATAGCATCTTTAAGTTCCTGTATCACTGATTTTGTTCTTGTCTTTTCAGATAAAATTGCTTCATGGTTTTAACAAATTCATGCCACTATGTTGGTCACAGCTTTAATTTTTCCATAAAAATATTGTTTTTCTGGTACACTTTTCTCACATGCTTTTTTGTGTATTTTTTTTTTTTTGCATAGATCTTGTGGTGATTCTTTTTTATTACTATTTTTTTTTTCATGTCAAGAGTTCTTCCAGGACCAGTCAGGGCTGTGGCTGAATTCCAGACTAGCAGGAATTCTCTTCGGAATACAAGGCTGTGTGCCCAAATGCTTTCAGGCTTTACTTCTCTGTTATCAATAAACATCAGCCCTACAGGCTACTTGCAAAGCAGCATCTCATTCATCCACCTTGCCTCACTAACAAAGTGCCTTCCACAAATATGGATCATTTATGTAATTTCTCATTCAGTCCTGCCTTCCCTACTTCTCGAGACTGTGTCCCAAACTTGGTCCATGGAAGCTCCCATCTCCAACTTTAATGCCCATTCTCATTATTCTAATACTGTTATTGCTTTTCACCATGTTCCACTTATTCTGAAAATCAGTGTTTCTTACATCTACTATGCCACAAATCCAAGACCATGGGAATCACTTATTGGCTTCTTCCCTGTTTGACCTTCACAAAATAAATTGTGAGTCAGGCTTATGGATACCCTTTGGTTACATCAATCATGGAGTTTCAGTTTATTTTTCTCATTCTCCTGAATGCTTCTAATGACAAACGAGAGAAGGGACAAGCCTTGTTTTATTCTTTCCTTCTTTCTTTCATTTCAAAACTGGGAGATGCCTACCAAATGGATTCCAAGAGGCTACTTCCTCAATGTGTTTTGCAGAGACACGAGTTTCACCTTTACACAGATGCAAGTGGAATGGTTAACTTCCTTGCATTACTTCTCCTTTCCCCAGCCCAATCCCACTAGCAAAGCTAGTACAAAAATGCTGGTTCTTAGACAACAGTTGGAAGCTGTTACTTCTTTCAGATAAGCTTAGAATGCTTTTTGGCAAAACAATGTGTTGTTTCATTACTCTCTCCTTACACCCAAGATACAGAAAACAGGTGTAAATTCTACACATGGCCTAAATTCTCACCGGCTTTCATCCAATTCAATAGAAAATCACAAATCACCATATTCACAAAAAGAAACAGGTTGACAGAGAACAGACTTATTTTTATAGCATACCTAAGATATACAGGAACTGATAAATTTACTCAGCTATTTTAAAGGGGCTACTCTTGCTCATTCTCTGGACAGCTAAATGCTGGGTTGCTAAGTTACTTCTATTTGATATCATCTCTTCCCTGACATCTCCCCATGTTTGACAGGTTCCCATGATTCACTGGCCCAGTCACCTCATTACTCATATTACTCACTTTCCCAATGACATCTGTAAAATCATTTAAAATTCACCTCATATATTAGCTGCAAACCCCTAGATTCCATATAAAAATATTTAAACTGCTTGACAGGTTCTAAGTGCATTTGGAAGCACACTGGATGGCTTACCTGCATTGTTCACATAAAGTTGTTATAATTAAATTTAGCATCTTTCTTCTGGGTTGGTTTGTGTTTGAGAAAAGAGGAAATGATTACTAGGAGGCATATAATGGATAATATCTCTTATGAGCTAATTTGGTTCCATGAATAGCTCACCTCACATATGCATGCTACGTATTAAGTCCATTAGTGCTTTGAATTAGCTTCAGAAAAGGGAATACTGCACATAATTTACCCAGTCAAGGGCATTTTCACCTGCTGACAAATTTACATATTTCCCAGTGCCATTAGGTAAGAACTAGTCATCAGATTAGCAAAGGGCACTATCATTAGTTAGTTCATTCATTTGACTCCATCAATGTTAACATTAATTATAGTCTAAATTATATTTAGGAATTGTCTTTCTTGGGCGGAACACTATATTACTATTTCAAGAAACTATAATTTTAAAAGTCCACATCCAAATAAGATACATGCTTTCTGAAACATTCCAGAAGGATTCCTATTTAAGACAGCTATATAGAAAATCGTTTGCATGAATCCAAGTTGAACATTATTTATACATTAATTTGACAGGATATAAAATCAATTGCCTAATTATTGGTTAAATTTATAAAAGAAATTCTACTGAAAGGTGCTTGATTATGCTGCATAGTTATGATAATATAATCAAATTTCCTTTCAGACATAATTGTCCGACCAATTTTGTTCCCTGATCCATTTTTTTTCTTACTTGCAAGATGGGCTTTTTCATTTATTTCCCTGTTAAAAAATAAAAATAAAATAACAAGCACTGCCCTGTAAATATTTGGTAATTTTTTTCCATGCTAAAACTGTTAACTAAAACACAAGCCTAATAAGTAGAATTGCCATAATTTAGAATGCTGTAAACACAGATCATACTGTAATCAAAAAGAGGTGGCCAAGTAGGTGTTTACCAACCTGATCCATATGGCAGGAAGAAATCTGTAAGAAGATACAGTTTATCAAATCAAGTTCCCTAAATCCTAGCTAGCAAATTCAGCATCCCTCATAAACACTGAATTACCCTTACAGATGTTTGCCTATGAAATTATCAACCACAGAAGGTGCTTTGCTAGGAGAGACAATCTGTTTAGCATCAAATCTAAAAGAAATGCTCTATCTGCATTTTTGATTCCAGAAAGGATTTCATAGTTTCTTGATTTTTTAAAGTAAATTCTTTCTATGAACAAATAAATCATACTACTGTAGAACAAATAATCATTGAGCATCCATCCTTAGCTAGTAGCATTTAGAGCATGCTGCTCTCCTTGTCTTAACTCTTCCAGAAATGATTACTCTAGGATCCATAAAACCCCGTAGAGCTCAGAAAAGAAGCTGCTGCTGGTACCCATATTATTACAGATGAGCTGCCTAGGAATCCCTCAGATGATTGATGAATTGTAACTGCAAAATGCCATCACTGTGGCCAGAGCTGTTATTATTTTTCATTTCCGTTTGCACGTGAGGGTAGCTTGACTCTAAAGAGTAAACAGCATGCTGACGGAAGCAAGTGTAAAAGCTGGGATGCATTGCACAGATTGCTGCCTTTAAGTTTCTGATTTGTAAAATTCACAATAAGCGATAATATGCCTGAAAAGGAGCAAAGACACCTGAATTCGTACAGCTCATTTTGTGGGAGAAGGTCAGTTTGGTGAAAAGGTGTTGTAGGCCAGTGAATTCTAGTTTGTTCAAAAAACTACTTAAATTATTCTGGCATAACTGAATTTGTACAAATTGAGGAAACAACAGAAGCTGAAATGAATTGGTGGTTGAATCCACTATAATGTTAATCATAAAGCAGACTGGAGCCTGTTAAATAAGAATGAATTCAGATAAGCCAACAGGACCAGAAGAACGGATAGTATGACTCTTGTCAGAGACTTGGAGAACTGTGACTTGAGGCAAATTACTTCACCTCTCTGACTTTCACTCTTTACCATTCTGTAAAGCATGACTAATAATACAATTTTTGAGGGTTATTGTAAAGGTTCAAAGACATAATGTGCTTATGAACTGTGCCTGACATGCAATAGACAACACATTACTATTATCAGTTGTTTTATTATTAGAAGAAAATTTGCTATTGTTTTATTATTATTTGAAATGAGATTCAAAATATTAAAGAATGACAAAAAAGAAGAATTAATTTCTAAGATCTGTTCAAATTATGTTGGTTTGCTGGTATTCTTAAAGTTGCTGGAAATGTCAGCTACTGTCTGAAGCAAGTTTGTTTAACATCCAGAGATTCTCACTCTAGATTTGTGAGAGGGTGATTGAGAGTTGGGTGTAGTGCAAAGATCACTAGATTTAGAAAACAAAGGCCAGATACCATTTTACTTCTGCCACATACCAGCCCCACCCTGGACTGCAGGTCATTTAACCTCTCTGGACTTCGATTTCATGAAATAATAAGAAACTACCTTACTCCTTATGACCAAATAAGACAACGAGGTTCAAGTGCTTTGACAATCTGTCACCTGCTATAGGAAAATAAGGTTGACACATCAGGTCAAGTTAGCCTGTTATAATCTGATTGCATCTGTGAGAGCATGAGGGCAAGAAGAAAATTGCTGGAAGACCAGACAAGGTGGGCTCCAGCATATTATAGCACTTTGCCCAGGGGGGCAAAGAAAGAAAAGTGGACCTGCTGGTTTGAAGGGGAGCTGAGAACATTGCCAGATGAATGGTGAGAGGGGCTTTCAAGAGAAACCAACTGGCTTGAATTTGGACAGCATTTTGAGAAAGGGGGCCATAACAAAACACATAAGGCAAAAGTATTTCCATAGCCTGGAGGATTGAGGGGCTGAGAGTGGGGAAAGGCTGGTTGTGTTGCATTTGGTTAATAAAAGAAGTCTGTCCCCATGTGAGATGAAGTGGGTTTGTATGTGTTTGCTTGCCAGGCTGTGGAGGGAAAAAAGGGGGATCAGGGAGGTGGGAAAGTTGGGAGAGCAAATGGACTCAGATTTTCATGGTGCAGATGCAAACAATGTGTATAATTTAAATATTCCTTCATTGGAGGTGGGTAGAGAGATGGGCGGGGTAATAACTAGCGCATGCTTCTAGATGAAGAAACTGAAAAGCAACACAGCTAGGAAATAAGGGAATCTCATGAGCAACTGGAAGCCAGCTCCTCCACTCCGGGGCTAGTGCTCCTTCCTCTGCATAGCTCCCCTCAGTGAGGAGAGATGACATTGTTTGGGCCTCTGCTTAGTTTGAAAAGCAGCGAGCATGGCCAGGAGAGGTAGGGAGAAAGATAAAATGTACTTTTCCCTAAGAAAGGGGTTTATGGGGAATGAGGTGACAAATTTACTGCGGAACCCGTCACAGGCCTCTAAGGCCCTCAAACCAAAAGGAACATGAATGTGTAATTAAGACAAAAAGCCCAACAAGCATGCTCTATTGTGACATGCAAGGTGGTCTATAAAAATTTAACAATTAGTCATAAAATTGGGGACGCAAATTTCAGAAAGCTTATTTTTATTCGAAGCATGGGGAATGAAACATTCTTTCTTTAATAAAGGAAGGCCCACTCATTAACAGCGTTGTTGGAAAAAAAAAAAAAGAATTCTATACAATCTATAGCCCTTCAAAAAAAAGAGACATTTCTCTAGATTCTCTTTCAAGAATAACAGAAGGACTTTTGTTACTTTCTCAAAGCATGTTATCTTTTGTGAGCCTATTAAGGCAACCTGCTTCTTTTCTTTCCATGTGTAAGTGAAATTCTGTTGTTTCTCTAAGTGGCTCCTTTAGGAGACTGGTGTCGCCAGCCTCAGCCAGGTGTTCACCCTCCTTCCTGCATTTAGTCACATAACCACCTAGGCACCAGGGCTGGGTTGCTTTTAAGTATGTAATTTCGATTGTGACAAATTAGTGAGATTTTGAGATATGCCTGGCATTCCTTTGGGAGTTTATAAAAAGGCCACTGAGTTTATTTATGCTTGTGACTCGGAGAAGAAAGGAATAACAAGGTTACTATCTAGAGCAGAGTAAGACATTTCTTTCAATGTTATTACCTTCTGTTAAGGAAGGCTGTTGACAAGTGAGCAAGGACTGAATGTATTTTCCCAATGGGAAAGGCCTGAGTTCCCAGTGTGCATTCCTTTTGTGGTGCTCATAACAGCTGCCTCGTCTCCACCCAAAACGTCGGGCCCCTGAGACAGATGACTGAGGGGTTGCTGGGTTCTTATCTTACCAAAGTAGTCAGCATAGTCCTAATCTAGCAGTCCCCAACCTTTTTAACACCAGGCACTGGTTTCATGGAAGACAATTTTTCCGCAGATGAGGGGGTAGGGAGTGGGAGTAGGGGTGGGGAGTTGGTTTTGGATGAAACTGTTCCACCTGAGATCATCAAGGCATTACATTCTCACGAGGAACACATGGTACCAGTCCATTGACTTGGGATTGGGAACCCCTGCCCTAATCCATATAGTCTCATCGTTGATCAAAGTGATATGACTGGCTCATCTCTTTAATAGTCAAGAACAATGTTCTTGGGCTGAAACAGGTGCACGAATGTGTACATCAGGTATACTCCGGGTGGCAAGCCATTTCAATGGTAAACAGCTTTTGGCTCTTGACTATTCCTTTGGCTGCATTTGCTCAGGGCTTGCTTCAAACACTGGGCTGCTGAGAAGGCACTTACTGGGAGAGGGGGATCAGGAGGGAGTTGGAGTGACTTTGGTAACTGAGGAAAGGGGGTGCCAAATTTTCACTGGCACATAGATTATTTTCTTTCCCAGATAGAAAGCCTTCATGGTTTTTACATGACTACACTGGTCATCATTTATCACAATAGCCAGCATTTATATACCACTTGGTAGCCTATAAGGGAGTTAGGGCAGGTATTATTGTCCTCTTTTACAGACGAGGAAAGGAGATTCAGAGAGATAAAGTCATCTGTCCAAGGTCACAGAAGTGACAAATGGTAGAGCCAGGACAGGAGCTCAGGAGCTCATTACCATGACTCCTATTCTTGAGATTCCATACTGCCTTATGATGCCAATGGCCAGAGAGAGCAGACAGATATGTTTTTCTTGCTTAACTTTGGTTTCTTCTTTTGGTTTGATTGTTTACTTCAGAAGAGATTATAGCCATTCTTTCAACTTTGTTCTGCCCTCAAGGCATTCACACACATACACTCACTTCCATAAGTAACACTTTCCACAACATGCCATCATTTTCAAGTCTCTCATCTTCTCCTCCTCTCCCATTCCCACATCTCTTCCCCTTATTATAGGCCACAATCAATCTCGGTAACCATGTTCCACATAGTGGGCGGCAGCAGTGAGATTGAGCTGAGATCCCAGAAAGGTAAAAGGCAAAGGTTTAGGGTATGGTGCTTGAACAGGGAACGTTTCCTAAAGAAGGTGGTAAGTCTCTGTCTGAGAAGGATGTAGGAATGGATAGGGCAGAAGCTTAGTGATATTAGAAGACTAGCTTGATTACAAAATGGAAAGAAGACAGGCAAGAAATGAGGCCACTGGAATAAGCAGAAGGGTCTTGAAGTAGAATATCAGGATTCCCCATCATGAAACTCCTTGAAACAGAACAGTAATTACTTTAAACAGCTTAAGCAGATAGATTGCTTCATTATTAAAAGGCACAAAAATAAAGGTTTAAACTCACCCGCAAGATTTCTTCAACACAGCTTGGATCACTGGGAAGGCTTACCTGAAACAAAATAAACAGAAAACATTAGGCACAATCTACTTCTTCTTCTTGTATAATAGTTTACTCTGTAGGACAAACTGTAAAGCAAGAAAATCTAGCTATCATTTTTTTCCTATTAAATACAAAAGAATATCTGCAAATGACTAATTTTGTTTTACTTTAATGAAGCGGTAAGATCGCAGTGCATGGTGCAGAAATAAAGTGACTCCTTGTTCTGTCACTGATTTGCTTTCAGGCACTGACCCATCCCCCATCCCCTGGGGCTTCTCTTTGCTCATCTATCCAAAGAGAGCTTGATCTCGTGATCTTTAAGGCATCTTTGACCCTCTGACATACTTTTGTATATTATTCATTAAAAATATAAGGCCTATACGAAACACTTTTGTGATTAAATTGAGTTCTTTTTGAACTTGGGAGTCCAACTAGGCACCTACAAAACACTAAGGATAACGGCCTGTGTAAATTGCATGCTTGCCTTGGCAGTTAGAAAAAGTCTCAGAAGTATACTCAGTGAATCCCATGATGCATTTTTCCCAGTGTGACACCTTCCTAATGAATCAAGATTCAAGTCACTAGCAGAAATGTACTGAGGGTTTACTCCATGTCAGGCCCATAGCCCTTTCCTGCAGGTGCTTTATAGTCAGTGAAAGCAAGAAGCGAGATAACAAAATAAGCAACCAGCTGTAAGACAGTGCATGATCAGGAACTTGAGAGTCAGGCAACCATCTAGAAAAATCTCTGCTGATCACTACATTATCTGTGCAGGTTTTAGGCATCCCCCAAACATTCCTAACTCCCCTTCACACCTTCACCCTCTCCAGGATTGCAATCCGATCACATCTGCTTCCTGCCTGCTCTGGTAAGAACAGTGGGTCTCTCATTCACTGCCTTGAAAGATGAAAGCCCAATCCTGTTAAGAGAGCACTGCCGTTACATCGACATTGCCCAGGCCTCTTGCAAGGACGATTATTAACTCCCCAACAGACTTAAGTATGGACTCAACTATACTTGGGTAAATGAAGAACAGAATACGGCACTAGATTTCCTCACCTGTAAAAACTACAAGTTAAACAATACAGCAAATCTTCAAACAGCATTATGGTCACTTCTGTACATGCATTAATTACAACCAGTATTTATTGAAGACCTTCTACATGGAAAAGTCCCTGCTCCAAGAGGCCCAAAATCCCAAATAGGGGAGACAGCCTGAGACAGTCACCAATAATGAAGGGCTATCAATTCTAGATGGCCCAGTATAGCCCCAGGTTACACTTCTTATCTGTGTAATTATTGATAGTATTCCCTTTCCCTCTCAAAAATGTCCTCCAGTTTGGATGACAAATTTATACAGTCATCCTTCCGATAACAATAATACTCTAATACTAGGTAGAAGAAACAGTAGAAGAAAAGACTTAAGTTGGCTGGGCATACCTTGTAAAGAATCTAAAATACAGGTTTCATATAGAGAACCACTGGTGATTTGGTGTAGCACAATTCATTCATTCATTCAACAAATAATTTTGGAGAGCCAAAGGCTGTGCCACTTGGTGCTAGGCAGAGATACAATGGGAAGCAAGAGGAGACACAGTTTCCTCACTCATGGAGTTTACAGGCTCAATAGGAAGGTGAATATGAAGAATCACATAGTTAATGCACAACTATAAGCTCTGGGGAAGTACAAAAAGGTGACCATCCCATGGACACTAGTTATGCAAAATGGAAGGTTCTGTGTTCAAAGAAGTATGGGAAATGCTGCAACCCATATTGTATCCCCCTTTGGAGATCCATGATGCAAATAAAAAGCTGTGAGACACCTGTCTAAAATTTTTAATAAAGTACATTCCCAACTTCCTTGGCTTCAGTCTTGGGTTTTTAGTTTTAGTTGTTTGATTGTTTGTTTGCTTGTTTTATTTTCCAATTAATAACTACTGTTATTCCACACAATGAATGTTTGCAGAATATATACTGGAAGATGCTGGTCTAACATGTTTATATGATTATACAACTAAACTGGTAATTCTCAACTGCAAATACAATCCCACTCCATTGTTCAGTGCTGCAGCAACTGTATTTTCCAAGAGAGTTCTTGAACTTCTAACAAATACATTCCCCAAATACAAAGGTCAAAGGATTATAAGAAAGGCTTAAATCTTCAATATCATTGTTGTATTGTATTAGAGTGGGCAGCCTAGGCTAAAAATGTATGGCCCAGTCTCATGAAAAGGTCTTTGTTCGCCTTTTCCCACGCAAACACATCAGTGTTAATTTTTAAATCACAGTGAAAATATATCACTGATATGCAGACACAGCAAGAGCACCTGCTGATGAGTCAAAAGGGTTGGGAAGGAGTCCTGGCCCTACCACTTGGGAACAGGACTTAATAACTGTACCTTTCTGAGTTCTAGTTTTTCCAAATGTAAAAGAAAAGGAAAGAATAATAGTAATACCCATCCTTTTTAAATCTCACAGGGTTTCTGTGAGCATCCTGTGAAATAAGTGATGTGAATGTGCTTTGTAATCCGCAAAGCCCAATACAATGAATTAAGTTATTACCCCTTGTCCTGTTGTTCTCCTTACTTTTCTTAAGTCCTGTCTTCTCGTCTTTTCAAACTAAGATTTGACTCACTCTTGCCAACTGAAAATATCATCTCTACTCTTTGAAATATAAATATCCACTTCTTTATGGGAGGAAATACTGTCAGAAGAGAAAGAGTTGTGGACTCTGGAGCTTTGCAGCACATCTAATAATGACTGACTATTGGAGTCGGCAGCACTCAGGACAGACAGAGAACTCTAAAGGCAAGAGCAGTCAAATAAATATGCATTCACACTCAGTGATTAGATATTTTTCTTTAGAAAACACTAAAATCCAGCATTCTCATGAAGTTACTAGTTCCGCAAATTCATCTAGCCCGGGCCCACTGCTGTTTTCTCCGTAAGACAACCACATTTGAACCGCAAGTGCTTTTCCTTCCTGCAAGTGCTTTTTAATTAACCAGCAAATATTTCCTACGTGCCTAGCACAGTGCAAAGCATGGAGAGTTGGTAATACAAATCACTCGGAGTCTCAGGTTCTTTCTCTCAGAGTTAAATGTCTAGATGGGATAGGAAAACAAACAATTAGAAACCCACTGGGACATACATTGTAAGGTAGTCATGACAAGGGTAATAGGATCGCATTCATTCGCCTGTCCGCCTATTCATCAGCTCTCCCATTTATTTCTTTAGACAACAAATCCTGATTGAGCTCACACTGTGCTCAGGATGGTGCCAAGAGGGAGGATTTAAAGACACTGGAGGCAGCATCATTTCTGCCTTCAAGACTCCATGCAAATTGAGGAGACAACATTTACGGGGAAACAGACAAGACCAAACAGGAGGTCTGATTTAAGTGCCAGGGAAAGGGTACCTACCGGGTTCACCGACACTGCCATGTCAGACAGAAGCTCCCAGCCGTTGAGGTCCCCACCGTAGTCCTCGCTCCATATGGGAGTGAGAGGCCAAGGATTCGACATGGCTGAGAAGTGATGGGGCCACCTGAGGCCACTTCAGTCACTGAGCCCCCTGCGGAGATGCACCAGGGTCACTCTGCACACTGGAAGAAAGCTGAGCTAAGGCTGGGGCTCGGCCCCAAATGCTATTCTCTTGCACTCTCTTTCTCTTTCTCTCTCACACACACCCACACGTCTTCGCAGTAATTCTGGAGGAGTTACTCGGACAGGTGTGAAAGACAGAGACTGAGAAAGAGAGCTAGTGGTGGCACTGGGATTAGAACTGCTGCCCGTTGAGTTGCCAAGCTGCTGCTTAATTCCCGAGGCACCTTCTCCTCTCTTTAAATCCACTCTTGAGTATTCAGATAGTCCACAAAGCGCAAGTTAGCCACTCAGAGCTGCAGCGTCCTTTCTCATTCCCCCTCTCCGCCCCCTCCTCCTGGAGCAGAAAGCAAGCTGCACGACACACAGGGGAGGCTGTGCTCTCACTCCTGGCCCCAGACGACCCTCTTGTGCTGGGCACGGATGTGGTCCTCTGAGGGCCAGGGAAGGGAGGTGCACATCAGGCAGGTGGTGAGTTTACTGAGAACCCTCACAAGTGCCTACCCTCTCTGCATCTGACAGTGCAGGCTGCCACCCCATGTAGCCACAGAGAGACCACACACAAATTATCTGCCTGGTGATAAATACATATCTTATGAAATAATCAGGGTACCTTTAAATCATCAAATATTCAATTAACTGCAGCAACAATAAATGAATTGCATAGGATGTTTTAATCATTCTGGAATTAATCAGTTTGGAGCATACTTCTTAGCGATTAGGGTAATACAAGATATCAAAAACACCCTGATAGTGGCATTGAGAGACATAAGCAGCAGCCATCACTAATAGAAAACATGGAGATTAACGTAAAACATTAATAGAATAATGATCAACACATGGTTAATCCAGAGGAGCTCAATGCATGCCTCTGAGTATATTATTACCAAGGGATTGTGAGAGAAGACAGGTCATTTTTTCCCATAAAATCATCCTGAGGGCGGTCCCACAAAGCTGGCAATCATAGTCCACTAGTCTAGGCATATTCCACCTTGACAAACACTTTCTCAAAGTAAAACTTAAAAATCAAAAGTTTAATTGCAAATTAAATAACTGGGCCCAGTTAACCAATATCCACAACAGACACTGATGGCGGCTTCCAAACTAATTCCGTTTGTACTTTCATTAACAAACTTCCCCATTTATCCCCATGATTGATTTATGGTACACAGAAGTCCCCTGATGCAGAATTACTAATAAAATAAAAACTCAGGTTATGATACTGTACTACCAAATGAGTTTTCAATCTTTTTAAAATTTGTAATTCCCATCGTTGGTAATTTGTAAAAACAGAGGACAGCAGCCTCTGAAGTTCTTATTTGCATGCATTATGAAATCCCCTATGTCTCTATCCAGGGAGTCCCAGTTTTCCAAAATGAATTTGGAAAACTACAAACTCAGTTCACATTAGGATCTGTCTGTCCCTTGCTTCCTGCCTCACCTTAACCGTCCCTATTCTAGTTTGTATTCATGAGTCTATGATTAAACGGGAACAGTTAATATTGCATAAGCTGTAGACAGAAGTCCTCGGGTAATATAACTTTAATCAAAACAAAAACGATTTCACAACAGTTACATGGTCCAGCTAACCAGCTCATCTTCCAATTTCATTTCAATACAGCAAAAATCCTGGGCATCCAAAGAGCTGGTGTTTACTTTAAAATACTGCTTCTGGCCAGTTTTTAAGTAAGTCTCCTGGTCAAAATACTTCATGTAAAACAAGGTAATATGCACCAGAAAAGTACAAAAAGAACAAAAAGTAGAGCATGAAGATCAAAATAATTTAACACATGTCTTTTTAAGCCAAATACAGGAAATGACCCTTTGTTTGGAATCATACATGAACATAAAACTAAAAGGTAACCATGAACTTTTATTTCTTTGAGCAAATGAATGAGATAATTTACTGTGTTTTCTGGGGGCTCCAAGGGGCAGTGGAAAGAGCCTGGTCTTTGAGGCTCCATAGAACTGGATTTCAATCCTATTTCTGAAGTTCAACTTGCTTTATGACCTTGGGCAAGCCACTCGAACTTGTTTGAGCCTCTGTATCCCTACCTATGTAAGAAAAAGTTTTAAAAATCCACTTCTAGGATTTTTGTGATGTTGAAATGAAGTGAGGTTTATAAAAGTACCTTAGCCTAGTAGGGGGTGCATGTTAAGTCTCCATCAGCACTTTGTATGCTAAGTTCTCTCAAAAGTCCTTAGAAGGGTGTCAGCACTCTGAGCCTTGGAACCACTGAGGAGATAGTTTGGTTGCCTTGTAAACTGGCTCCCATGACATCTTATGAATGTTGCTAATTACTGAATCCTATTCAGGGTCCCAGTGTGTAAAGAGTCTCAGGCTGCTTTTCCATCTGCTGGCTCTCATTAAAGGTGAAAAAGGAGGCTGGAGATGGGACTTAAGTGGATATGACAACAGAGATAAGGGAGAGTGGGAATGAGAAGGGTGGAGGAGGGGTGGGTGACATGCTTCATTATGAGGACATCTCTTCAGTGATTACATTAGGTATGGGCAACGGTGGAATGCATATGCAGAAAGGCCCATCATCAGCTGAGAGTACCTAATGGCAGATGGAATTTCAAGTGAAGAGTACTTAATTCAGTGGGCTCTGAATAGCCATTAACTCACTGTTCATTTATTTGGTCTAATAACTAGTTTCGATAGAAAAGTGAGCTATAAAAGGAGATGGGGGGAATGAGGGTATATTACAGTCTTCGACAAAAACAAGGTAAACATCTAGAAATATTACTGTTAGAAATCAAGAACCTATCTGGAAGCACCTTGCTGCCTGGCTCACATTCCCTCAAGGATGCCCTGTCTCAAGTCCCCTGGGCTAGTCAGTGAGGCCATTCTGGTTACTGTTGCTGCAGCTACCCAGACTCATACCCCAGCTGAGTAGGGTCTTCCAGCCCGGTTCCACAGGGACAGATCTCCAACTTAGAGTCTCTAGGCTTCTTGCTATGATTCCATCATTCTGGGATCAGACTCAAGCTGTCTCCTACTTCTCTTTGCCAGCCTCCGTGACTCTGACCCCACTTGCTTGCCCTCTCTTGCCTATGCTCTTCCTGACCTTCTTTCTTCTTTTGGTGCCTGCCCTACAATCCTCAGATCTTCTGGCCCTGGTCCTTTCCTTTTGAAATTCCTAGGTAAGCAGCCAACTCCTCAGGGCCTACAGGATACCCACTTCTGTCCCAAAGTCCTAGTACTGCAACCAAAGACCATTTAGGATCAAAATCTAGATTCCACTTAATCCCTACTTAGTGTACTGCCATTAATGGTAATGACTGTCTTGTGTGCAGGTGCATAATAATCTCTCATAATAAAAGAGAAGACTGCAAAACTAGAGATGTACAAACTAGATTGAACTAATACATTATCTAAATATATAAAAAAGATATATCAGGAGGCAAGTTCACCTTTGAATTCTGTCAATTAAAGAGTAAATGTTAGAGTTTTTAAAGTTGTAGTATGCTCTTGACCTCTTCAAAGATCATAGCACACTCTCATAATATAGAGAAAGTAAACAATTACAAAGCAGTGATCTCACTTTCAGGTAACAAATCTTATAAAGTAGCGAAAAAACCTGACAGGAAACAGTAGTTATGTGTCCAAGCTCCACCACTAATTAGCTGTGTAATTTGGGACAATTCACTTCTTCACTCGCCAGCCTGCAGCCTAAACAGCCTATACAGTGAAGGCATGAGAATATATTCCGAGTACCCAGTGTTTTGTATTTCACATAACAGTACAAAAATAATGAGGGATATGTATAAGATTACTAACTTTTTCTTTTATCAATAAGGGCATTACAAAACAAAATCCACCATTGGCACTATTATTTTGTAAAAGAACATTATAACATCCAAAAGGTTAATAAGGCATAATCTCAGAATAAAGGCCAGTTTGTTCAAAATACAGAACAGTTAAATTTATGCTAACATCAAACATACTGGCACACACACACACACATCATTATCTTACTTTTCTTATGTTGCCACAGAATAACAACACTTTCACTTTGGGCTGGTCACCGGGTTATGCGATCTTTCACACATCTTTTGGATTCTACGATTTTATTAACACTCTGCTTTATTCTTTCCTATTTTATGTATTTTGCTATATGTAGTAGTCCTTTTGCCAGGAGGCCACACTCCGCATAGCATAGCATATTATCTATGACATGTCATGTATTCCAAAGCCAAAAATGAATTCTTAAAGTGTGTATGGAAGCAAGCATGGGGTCACAATAGCCTAGAAGAAAAAGTGCTTCCAGGAAAAACTGGTCATTAAATAAGGATGAGGCTGCAGAATAGGCCATTGGCTTTAGCAATATCTAGGTGATTTGTATCCTCGATCATAGCTGTTTCAGCAGCATGGTGGGGATGTAAACCTGATTGTGTATTGAGGAGAGAGTGGAAGGGGCAGAGGTGGAGAGAGTGAATAAACAATTCCTACTGTGAAAGGAGGTGGAGAAATGAAATAATATAAAGTGGTGATGTGGAGTCAAGGTTTTTGTTTGGTTTTGTTTTTATAAGAGGGATGATATTAAGATATATTTATATACTTGATGCGTAGAACTCAGTGAAGAGGGAAAAAGTGTGGCAAAAGAGAAACTGGATGATTGTAAAAGCAAAGTCCTTGATAAGGAGGGAGTCGATCAAGACACAACTGAAGAGGTTGGCCTGAAATAGGAACATGGACACTTCTGTACACTTCTTCCATTGTAACAGGAGGGAAGGCAGAGTGCCTAGGTACATAAGCAGCTGGGTTGGAGAAATTAAAGATGAGAAGATGACATGGTACTTGTCTGATTGTATCTTATTTTTCTCTATGAAGTATGCGGCAAGATCATCAGCTGAGAGTGGGGTGTGGTTACTGGAAATTGGAAGAGAAAAGAAAGGTTGGAATAGTTGTCTTCGAAAACAGAAACATGGATCATAGACTTGCTAGGGAAGTATAATAGAAGGGATAAGGAGGCGGGGAGAAAGAAGGGAGTTGGAGGCCAAGTAGCTCTGATGATTTGGAAGAAGGTGACACTGCTCCTCACTGTTAGCTTCTGCTTTTTCCAACACTGATTAATTAACCATAGTTCACAGTTCTCCAAATGCTCTAATCTAGAAGAGGCTTCATTCTGACTGCAATAAGCAGAAAGCGCAGGAGTAGGACTAATGACCAGGACTCCACCGTAGTGACTCCTGTAATATTATCCAGAAGGCCAGATGAAATTAAGCCCAGGGCCAAATTTAAGCCCCAAGGCTTGAGGATCTCCCCTGGGCCTAACTGAATGCTACTCTGTCTCTTTGGGAGCACAGAGAACTCGATTAACTCATATCCTCCTGAGAGAAATCATTCCTTTAGAACATTAGACGGAGTTTCTGAATTGTTTAAAGAAGAGCTATTTTTAATCATTGAAATATTTTGTATTCAAGCAAGCATTTTACACATTTAATATGTGATTGCTATCATGTAGTATTTTAAAATACGATTATCTTTTATGTGTCTTGGACTGACAAGTTCTTCAAATCATTTACAGTGTCTAAGATACAAGGACTTCCTCATGGGAAAAAAAAAGTGGGAGTTCAGTTTTTTCTGGTAATTTCTGAAGGCATTGCCACAGGTATATTATGGGGTCTTAAATTAAGTTCCATAACCCCGTTTAAAAAAGAAGCTTTTAAATATGTACCTTTGGCTCTTATTTTTTGAAAATCTTTTAGAAAAAAAAGGACTTACCTTGACATTCACAATCCCTCGCCCTAAAGAAACTACAATGGTCTTCTTACAAATAAATAACTAATGATTTAAACGTCTTTTTGAAAACCAAAAACTCAGATATCAGTTTTTCCTTTAACTAAATTCCTCTTAAAGCAATGTAAATGGAATAGACTTTATAAATCGTACCCACAGATGCCCTCAATAAAACAGTGACAACAGAATACACTTGATAGAAAGTGGCTCTACTTTTGTACTAACCTCTAACGAACTTGGCGCCTTATTGACTCTCTATACTCCGCACTTAGGATTGTCTTAATTGCCAGTGGATGACACTGAAATTCCACAGAAACAGAGTTACAATTGCTCTTCTTTGACAGTGATGATCCTAAAGAACAAGCCATGTGCATGGGAACTGAATCCTCGCCAGCTCCCCTATTATTTATGACTCTAATTAAAACACTTTTATCTATTAATGCCAAGTGACACAGCTAAATATATTCAGGGAAGTTCACATTTTTTCTGTACTTCTGAAATCTCTTAGATCTGCGCCCACTTACATGTGGTTTAACTGCTCACTAAAATGAAACGATAGCTAAGAATAACTCACTTTCATTAGATTTATAAATCTCATTAATTAAATCTACATCTCCAATGGTGTAGAGACCAAACTCAAATGCAAGATCTAATTAAAGAGAAGTAAAAAAAAAATGTTAAGAAACAACACTGAGATTGAAACACAGAAGTAACTGTTTAGCCTCAAATTAATGAGGCGCTATGCTAAGCAAGCATGTCCATTAATCCCTAATGAGGATTTTAAACACATTAAAACTTTCTAATACAAAATGTTTGCCTTCCTTTTATCCAATAACAAATAAGCCAATAATTTTCTGGCTCTAAATGACACTATTAACTGTCATGGCATGTTTTATTTGACAAACCCTCCATTCAAATACTGTAAAACCAATTAATTTGCCTGCTGTGAAATGTGTTTCTTGATAGCTTTTATGTGATTTTCTTTTCTTCTCAAAGAAATGTAAATAGGAGGTCAATGTAGGTGCCTGATTTTGCTTTAAAAATATGCCACAGTAGGTATAGGTTGTCCACTCGGTTTGCATTTCAAATGAATTGAAAGACAACCTCCATTTTCAGGTCATCAATCTCAGATTGTTCTCCTGATAAGTAAACTGTGTCAGAGTAATAGTTTGATTACCATGATGATGGTCTTATATTTGAGAAGGGAGTGTTGGCAAAATTACCATTTTGTTTGATTATAAATAATGATTTGCAACCGTGGCCCTTATCTTTCCTGCTTTGTTAAGTGACCTGGCTTTGTTACCTGTGTCTGACTATATCCAGCCTCTTCCAAAATGCACCTGCATGTGTGTCCAGGAAATCACTCAATAAAATTGGAGCTTATTCCTGATGCTTTTTATTTGGAAACATCACAATTTGTTACACTTCTTGTTGGCAAGAAAATCAATAGAACAAACACAAGAAGTTTGTTTCTTAAACTTCCCCTGGGCCTTACTTAGTATCTTCTGTTAGCTGGAGAGATGGCCCCAAGGTCCTGTCTGTCCACCATTTATGAGACACTGAAATTCTTGGCTCATGGAAGGGCATGGCACTTTTCCAGAAAATCACTCTGCAAAAACTGACCCCTGAAATAGACATAGTGTGTGTCATAAAGGGTCTGTGACATTAAATGTGGGCCAGCTCTGTGGAGCATCTCAAGCCCATTGAATTTTATGCTGAAGATCAAAGAAGGAGTGATACATGGTGTACCATGGTTTATGAAGCCTAACGGTCTATGCCAATTAACGTGGACAGCATATACCCAGCATCAGTGATCCTAACTTTTCTCGCATCCACAAGAAAACAAGGTATTGATTATTTCTGAGTTGTGGAAGTATGTAGGATAAACAGATACCTGGCAGGCATTTATAATTTCAGGTACAAGCACAACACATTACTGATAAAATAAACTCTTAATGAACTAACCAGACCTACTCTTGACCAGAATTAATGTGTTGCAGTACTTCTAAATTTGGCGTTTGGAAAATCTGTTCATGTAAAGGAAATAATCCCAAATGACAAATATGCATTGCACCCTCAGTATGCACAGTGCACTAAGCTAAGCATTAGGTAAAATGCAGTACATGATAAACAATGGCTGTCCACAGGGAGTGCTATGGCTTGAATGTTTGTCCTTTCAAAACGTCATGTTGAAATTTAATTGCCACTGTAACAGTATTCAGAGGTGGGGCCCTTAGGGTTGATTAGGCTATGGGGGCTCTGCCCTCATGAATAAATTAATGTCATTATCATGGGAGTGGGTTCCTGATAAAATGACAAGTTTGGCACTCTTTTGTTTCTGCTTCTCTCTCTGTCTCTCTCACTCTCTCTCTCTCTCTCCCCAACCTCCAACTTCTTCCATGTGATGCCTTCTACCATGTTATAATGCAGAAAGAAGGCCTGTGCCAGATGCTGACATCTTGATATTGGACTTCTCAATTTCTAAAACTGTGAGCCAATAAATTTCTGTTCATTATAAATTACCCAGTCTCAGGTATTCTGTTATAGAAGCACAAGACAGACTAAGACAGGGAGGGTATACTATAGACGAGTAGACAAGACCTGCATATCTAAAGTGAGGAATTACAGTGCATGTTAGCAGATATCTTTTTTTGATCCCTAAATGAGGCACATTGGCAGAAAAAAAATTTTCTTTCAGTGGGTACCAAAGTCAGCTTGCATGACGTGATTTACATGGCCAAATATGGGAATTTCTAGAATACCAATTTATGGGGAGAATGAATTGAAATCAGGGCTATCCTGGAAATCCAGTTTATGTGGTGATCATATTTTAAAAAGCCAGATTCATGGCTCTGACAATAACTTTAATAGAAAGTCACGAAAGGAAAAACTGTCCATGGATCTGGTGGTCAAGCAAGGAAGTAAGACAGGACCTTAACTTTGAATAAGAGAAAAAATTCAGATAGAGAGTGACTTTGGCATTTGGAAAAGACAGAAAGTAGTTTCCTGAAAGTACTTTATTTTTGGCATAGTGAAATGTAATTGGCTAAGAACAGAAAATGTGGTAGATTAATCTGAACAGAGTTCCTCTGAGTATGGTGGACATCTATATGTAACACTTTGTCCCTGCCCTCAGGATTCCTTTAGCACTTCATGAGATACTGTTTAATATACTTGAACTGACTGTCTTGAAGAAACTCTATTGGTTCAGTGACAAACTGTATGACTTTGGGCAAGTCACAGTTTTCCCAGATGTAAAACAAGCGGGTTGGCTTAGAATCCAGTCTTTAAGGTGACTCGTGTCTGTTAAGTCTGTCAATCTGTGGCCCAAAAGCAGATTAATTTGAAAGATTCAACTTGTGTTAATCTCTAGCTAGTAGAAGTCTCTAATCTAAAATTAAAAGCTACACATTTCACAGGTACAGAGCCTGCATGATCTACAGAAGTAAAAATGTTAAGCCATTCCTGCAAGTATTTTCATAACGAAAACAGACGACAGGCAACGTGCTTTAGAGCTAAAGTGGAAGCATTAAAATGTAGATAGTTCAATTTTTAATACCAAACATACTACAATGACAATTAGATGTCATTTTCAAAAATAACCTGTTGCCCCAAGGCCAAAGTATCTCAACTATGTGAGAGCTTCATGTTAAGTATGAGGTTATTGCTAAATGGTAGTGAAAATATAATCGATACTTTGCTAAGTCAATAAATTTCAAGCCAAAACATGTAGAAATGGCTCTGTTTGAAAAGATTATTTTGAAAGAAAAAAACATAATTGTTCCTAAGTCTTCCATTTTAATCAAGATTTGGCAATACACTGAGACCATCAGACATCAAGCGTTCTTGCGACCTTTTCAACTGTCAGGCCAGACAGATTTTTATCTTATGTGAACCAACCCACAGCCTCAAAGGTGCAGTGTCAGAGCATGAATCCATTTCGCTAGACAGTCATTGAAATTATAATTCAAAGTTCAACTTACTTTCGCATTGTCTAATGCAATACTTTGGGCAGCCCAGGGCAGAAAGTCGAAGCCCGGTTTCCAATGGAGATTATTTCTAGTGGTTTCTAACTGTTGGCAGCCAGAATTTCTTCTTGTCAAATAGATCAGCAGATGCAGGGTTTCATTAATTTACTTTCAATGACTGCTGCTAACTCTTAGGAAGCTTTTCTTTACCTAAGGATGTTGACCTGCTGTAGGACCCCATCAGAAACAGACAGGAAGAGACACTGATATATTAGGAGATTGGGAAATTTCCCTCCAGTGGCCTTCACAGACTCCACAAATTCCATTTATTCTCACTCATGCCATCAGCACAAAAACAACAACAACAACAAGATTTGTGGTGAAGACATATAGCTGGAATCTATAAAAGCTCCCAACTCAAGATAAATAAACTCACCAACATATACTACACTATGATGTGTTATTTGAAGATCTTAGAATCAGCTTTAAGGTCTTTCTTCATGAAAATGCATTATCATGAAGAAGAGGGACCTTCTAAACCTAAAATAGTATACCAATTTAAATAATGCAATTAGTAATACTTAGTGTGCATTTAATTGGTTACCTGAAAAGCTCTAGGCTGAGGGTATTTGGTAAATAAAAATTTATTATGATCACACTAATCTTGAAATTATCTAGTCTGACACTTAGGTGTGTATATATATATATATATATATATATATATATATATATATATTTTTTTTTTTTTTTTTTTTTTTTTTTTTTTTTGAGACAGTCTCACTCTGTCGCCCAGGTTGGAGTGCAATGGCGGGATCTCGGCTCACTGCAACCTCCACCACCTGGGTTCAAGCGGTTCTCCTGCCTCAACCTCCCGAGTAGCTGGGACTACAGGCGCATGTCACCACACCTGGCTAATTTTTTTGTATTATTAGTAGAGTCAGGGTTTCACCGTGTTAGCCAGCATGGTCTTGATCTCCTGACCTCGTGATCTGCCAGCCTTAGCCTCCCAAAGTGCTGGGATTACAAGCATGATCTACTGAGCATGGCCAGGTATATTTTTTATAAATATGCTTTATTAATTTCTAAATGTTTTACCCTTCATTTTGCAATCTATGCTGAAAAGGAAAGCATTATACCTTATCAGGATGCTACAAAGTTTCAGGGCAGCATCTAACATCTACTCTGTAATGATAAGCTTTACAATTAGCATTTTCCAGATCCTCAGTTTCAGTTCTTTATAAATGATAATCTAACCCCATGAGAGACATCTCCTAAATCCTTAAAGTGAAGATATTTACCCCTTAATTCAAAACTTTAAGAACAGAACCCTGGTGGCATATGAAAACAAAGGGGAATGAGGGAATTTATATATGAGGATGATATAAAGAATATCTTCAATTACTGCTACTAAGACCATCGCTAATAGAAATCATTCCTTGGAAATTTAGAGTCCTTGCCAGGTTACAAAGTCCTTTCACATCGTCTCCATCTGTTATCCCCCTCCCAGTATCATTTGTTGCTTACAACAATCTTCTGAAGTAGACAAATAAGATAAAATGAGTTTCATTTTTTAAGATGAAAAAGAAGCGAGGCTTCAAAAGGTTGCATGATTTGTCTGAAGTTTTATGGCTAGTCAGAGGTGGTGGAGACTAGCCCCTGGGTTTTTGGCTAAACAATCCAGTGTTTCTTCCACTATTTCATGCTGCTGTTGTTTAACATAGATTTATCCATGTAGTTCCCACTAGAGCCATAGCAATCCAGGAGACAATTTGATAAACTGCCATGAACCCCCCACCCCTGCCTCTGCAAGATGAAAGATTATTTATCCCTGTTATATGGTAAATAATGTTATTACAAATTCCAAGCTGACCATCAACATCAAAGGCAAAATACTGATAGTCTAAAAAGGAACCTGCAAAATGGCATGTTGAAAACTTGAAAGTGAAGAAGATCTTGAGAGAATGTTGCCTCTACAATGACTCAGACAGTCTGTACCTTGGAAAGCACCTGCTGTTATCACAAACAGACCAAGTCTTTCCTCCATCCAGGACTTCAGAGTTGCTAAGCACTAAGGACTCAGGTTTAACAATGAGTTCAGCACCTTGATGCTGTACTCCTTGACTCCTCCTTTAGCTTTTGTTTCTTGATCATTTTTCACCCAACTGAAGGGAATTCCTATGGGTTCACTGGTAATTCAGATGTGCCCTCAAAATTGTCCTCCCCCCAACATCCACAGTCAATATTGATTTTAGGAGTCATAAATTTGTGATGAAATGAGCTTACTGGAGCCATGACAAGGCTGGAATGAAGGCAGACACTTGCTTATTCAACATGGGATACCATCTCCCTTTCATTGCTCCTTTCAAGAAATAGAGAAACAGTGAAATAGAGTTGGCAGGGGCAACCCTTCCATCTTTAGAAATTCTGGTTTACTTACAGTAAGATAGGGACTTTGAAAAAGGGCTGCCTCTGGCAGACAGTTACTACAGGTGCAGCAGAGGCCGAAAGCATTAAAACTGACTGAGATCTACTAAATCTGTTGGAAGACAGGGAGGGGAAGGACAGGTAATACATGAAATAAATCTGATAATAAATGTGCCATCATTCACATGCAAAGCTAATGTTGCTTGTTCATTCTCAATGGAATACTTTTGAGTTGCTTGTCCAGAAATGAGTGGATACTCTCATCTCCTATACAGGCTCCTGACAGAGAAAAGGCCCCGGGGATTATATACTCCAGCCTTCTACCTTCTGTCCCATTTTAAAGATGAGGACAAATACAGTGCACAGAGGTGAAATGATTTGCCCAAGGTCACATAACCATGTGAATGGAAGGTATGGGATTAACCTTAAACCATCTGATCAATCCAAGTCCTGTCATCATATCATACAAGTACTGCTGACATGACTCTCATGACAGGGGATTTGTTACTTCATGATTCCATTTGGTTCCATTGAATTGATTACGATTTAATTCAGCAACTCAAGAAGCTCTAATCGAGCTTCTTCTATTGGAAGTCCTACAAAGTCTCTTCTGTATTCTCTTGGGAAGCAGCAGGGGTGGAGGAGAGGAGAGGAGTTGTGCCCCACCTTACTTCTGAAAACAGTATCTTCTGAAAACATAGTATCTCTTCAAAAAATTCTAAATACTGTGATGATGGGGTAATTGTTAAAGCTGTGACAAAAAGATGTCCAAAAAAGCAGTGTGAAAGCAAGAACAGAAGTTACATAAAAGGGAGGCAAAGTCTGTGGGCACCTTTTTGATGCACTTGCTCTCCAGTTACCCAGCAGTGTAGGCCCTGCCCTCCCCCACCCACCCTGCCAAAGACTGGACCATCCAGAAGTCAGAATACAGCTTTGCCTAGTGCCAGGTATGTTATGTTAGGCAAAGGGCTGCAGCTCCTCCTTAGAATCTTTAGCTGTAGAGGTGAGGTTAGCTAGTGTGTAGGAGGTCATAGCCATGTTCAAAACAAGGAGATGAGAAAATATAATGCTAGCAATTTGGAAGTATTGAGAAGAGAAAGTTGGATGAATAAACCTATTTTGTAAGTTATGATTTAAGTGCAGAAAATAATAGTACTTATTAATTTCTGGGGAGATATACATTAGAGCAGCTGCAAATGCCCCACTCCTGTAAAGGACCCAGGCATGCCTCCTTCCTAAGGTTGTCTGTGAGCTGTGTTTCTGAAAGTGTAGGAAATTTCCTGTCTTCTTTCTTTCTTTTTTTGTCTAGTTTCATTCATGTAACCCTAATATTCAACCTTTAAATGGAAAGGCCACATCAAAGAGAAAATGATCGCTTTCAATGGGGTTCCCTAATTAGGCATTGTGGTATATGCCATCAGCCAAATCATAGCCTAACAGTAACCTTCAGGCTTAGTCCATCCTAGAGAAAACACTTTTTCACAAATGCCTCCAGGGCACACAGAATTCTATATAAAGACCCTCTTAGCACTGCCATTTTACATAACTATTTTCCCAACTGAATGATTAATAGTATACTGAGTTAAAGGTAAGGTACAAAAATGAAAATAACTTGTGTCAGCAAGGCCCTTTGTTATCACTTTTGTGTTAAAACAGTCATAAGAATGGTTATATATTATTTTTATTTTTTGGAGACGGAGTCTCGCTCTTATCGCCCAGGCTGGAGTGCAGTGGCACGCTCTCGGCTCACTGCAATCTCCGCCTCCTGAGTTCAAGCAATTCTCCTGCCTCAGCCTCCTGAATATCTGGGATTACAGGCATGTGCCACCATGCCCGGCTAATTTTTGTATATAAATGGTTATTTTTATAGGACATGCTTTTTGAGCATTTAGGTGTACCAGGCCTATCCTTTAACTTGCTTATTCTACATGACAACTCTAAGCTACAGGCATTATTGTCGCCATGGTGTAGATGATGAAAGTGAGGTTCATAGAGGCTCAGTAATTTTCCCAAGGTTCCACAGTTAATATGTGATAAAGCCAAGAAACAAAACCATGTCTGTAAGACTTCAAACCCATGTTCTTAATCACTGTACAAAAAAACTGGTTCCCAACTATATTATCAAATAGGAATTTATATTTATATGTATATATAAATCTAGTAGCCACTACTGAAATATAAGATGTTTCATTATTTTTATTTTGCAAAATTCCTTTGTTGTACCAATATAATACAATGGAATGATCATGAAAATGTAAGTTGCAGTTCGATGAGCCCAATTTGTCCATTGCTCTGATGAGCATAAAGTTATATACACCCGGCTCAGTAACATAAGCAAGATAAGATTATTATTTCCTTGCATTCATAACCACTATGGCCAATACAATCACTTCAAATTAATCATACAAAAAATACAATGTGGAGCTCAATTGGCTATTTTATAAAATCTCAAAAAGCAACTGATTAAAACAGCCATAAGAGGACTTCGTGCTATTTTTTGCATAACAGATTAAATCAAATGAGAAGCTAAGATTATCTTGAGGCTGTTGAATAAAGACAAGTAATTCAAGAGCGGAAGTTTTAAAACAATTAATTGACCTGCTATGGATTTCTGAATTTGCAACTGATATGGTTTGGCTGTGTGCCCACCCACATTTCTTCTTGAATTGTAGCTCCCATAATTCCCACATGTCATGGGAGGGACCTGGTGGGAGTTAATTTAATCATGGGGGACAGGTCTTTTCTGTGCTGTTCCCATGGCAGTGAATAAGTCTCATGAGATCTGATGGTTTTATAACGGGGAGTTCCCCTGTACATGCTCTTGCCTGCCACCATGTTAGATGTGACTTTGCTCCTCATTCACCTTCCATCATGATTGTGAGGCCTCTCCAGCCATGTGGTGCTGTGAGTCAATTAAACCTCTTTCCTTTATAAATTACCCAGTTTGGGGTATGTCTTTATTAGCAGCATGAGAACAGACTAATATAGCAACTTTAGTGTTTCTCTCTGCATATGTGAAAGTCTATGTGAGAGTATACATAGAATAATATGTATTGACCTGCAATTGACAATTTAATGGTAAAATGGGTCCTCCTTATGGGAATTTTAAAGCTTAATTTTTCAAAAGCTGCATTTCTCACGAGTTCTGTCTAATGGACTAACTACTGGTTGGTTGGTTCCATTTAGCTCTAATGAGAGAAAACCTGCTCTTTCCAGTATTATCTCCCAAAGCTTTCAAAGTGCATAGACCTTGCAATTTGGTCTCCTTTAAAATGCTCCCTCAATCTTTTTATTTTTATTTTAAGTTCTGGGGTACATGTTCAGGATGTGCAGGTTTGTTACATAGGTAAACATGTGCCATGGTGATTTTTTGCACCTATCAACCCATCACCTAGGTATTAAACTCAGCATGCATTAGCTATTTTTCCTAATGGTCTCCCTCCCCCAACCCCACCCCCAACAGGCCCCAGTGAGTGTTGTTCCCCTCCCTGTGTCCATATGTTCTCATTGTTCAGCTCCCATTTATAAGTAAGAACATGCAGTGTTTGGTTTTCTGTTCCTGTGTTACTTTGCAGAGGATAATGGCTTCCAACTCCATCCATGTCCCTGCAAAGGACATTATCTCATTTCTTTTTATGGCTACATAGTATTCCATGGTGTATACATACCACACTTTCTTTATCCAGTCTATCATTGATGGGCATTTGGGTTGATTCCATGTCTTTGCTATTGTGAATAGTGCTGCAATGAACATACATGTACATGTATCTTTGTAATAGAATGATTTATATTCATTTGGTTATATACCCAGTAATGGAATTGCTGGGTCAAATGGTATTTCTTGTTCTAGATCTTTGAGGAATCACCACACTGTCTTCTACAATGGTTGAAAAAATACACATTCCCACCAACAGTATTAAACAGTATTAAAGCGTTCTAATTTCTCCACAACCTGACCAGCAACTGTTATTTCTTGACTTTTTAATAATTGCCGTTCTGACCAGCAAGGCCAAGCTAACCATTTGACAACCAGTACCACTGTTTGGGCAATTCAACATATCAATGGACTTATTCTTACAGCTCTCTGTTTTCAGAGTGCTAAGTTGGACAATAAGTAAATCTCATAATGGGCCATTTTTTAAATGGGAGGTTTACTGTGAAAGAAGAGGGGTGACCCATAATAAAGAGCCCAGCAGCTGAGGTCAGAATATCCTGGTTATACTTCCCCCTCTTTAGATCTCTGTCAGGTTCTTCACCTATGAATTGAAAAGGCTGGAAAAGCAGGTATTCCAGGTTTTGCACCCCTCCCAGATGTGTAAGACTGTAAATTGAGATAAAATGTATTGATTATACCGATTAACAATGCCAAGAGAAAGTCATTTTATAATACTCTACAATTGATGATTCCTTTCAGGGGAACATGGTATTCCTTCATTAAGAACACTTGGTAAATGTTGGCCTGTCAAGCATTCTCCATTCTGTCAAGGCAACCTTTGACAGCCTCAAAATATATTACAGGGACCATACCTCTCTATTTATTCTGGCAGTTAGGGTCCATTTTTTAAATCAAGTTTAATTTACCTAGTTGTGTGCCTTTGGTGAATCACCTATGCTCTCTGGGCTAAAGTCTCCTCACTATGAAATGAAGGGTCCTGATTCCCTCTCTAGTGTATTTGGTCTATTCTGGCTTCTATGTTATATGAGTTTACAAGTGTGATTCATAAGATCTCAGAGAGTTTTTCAGTGAAATCATTATCTTTGGTAATAGGCAGTATTTCTGTCCAAATTCAGGGGACATAGATTTTGTTGGAATCGTGGTATAATCAGCTAATGGGAAAACAAACTCAATCCTGTCATCCTTTTACTGCATCAAATTCTCATAATTTCCTTGGGTCTAGATAAGAATTGCAGGACTAGATGCTTAATTAGCTGAGATAAGGCATGGGCACATATTTTATAAAATTGACAGACTATATCTCTATGGAGGAAACATGTTCTTTGGATGCAATTTAAAGCAATTTGAAACCAAATAATAATCACTTTGAAAGAAGACAGAAAATAATATTCTTCAGCAATTCTGGTGAGAAATACACTATCACAGTTAATAGATCCGTAAATAAATTAATGCCATCCAGGAGTGTCATTTCTTTATTTAGAACATGTTCAAGTGAGTGTCGGTAACTTGGTTCAGCCTCTTTTGAAAATATGCAGTGAGTTGTATACATGGGCACAATAATCTGGACAAACATAACCACCCAAGGCTTGCAACTGATGCTCATAAATTGTTTTCATGCATTAAAAAACCAGAGTAAACATAACAGCTTAAAACCTGAAACTGATTTAAATCTGTTTTAGAAAACCCAACCAAGTAATAAGCAAGCTGTTTTCCCTGAGAGACCCTCCACACGCTACCATCACAGCACTAGCCCTCAGACTGCAGGAACTGATGGGAGTTACTGAGAGCAGTGCAGCAGCTGAAACAAAGAGGGCCTCATTACCATGCGAAGCACAACATCCTTCAGATGTGATGAGAAACGTGACTGCATGATAAACTGGTCCTGGGGAAATTTCAAAATATGACCACCCAAGCATAAAGAAGAGGGTGGTGAGAACAGAGGCAGGACAGTGGGAAGGTGCACAGACTTGGCACACATAATGTTGGCTTAGGCCCCAATATAAATAGCGATGGACCCTCTGACCTGCAATAATGCAAATTTTATATTAATGGGGGCCCACACAGACATATGTTCTTGATACGTGGCTCTATGTAACTGCTGAAAAGAGAAAACTTAATGTAAGTACAGTGTTCTTGCTTCATTTTTATTGCATTAAGTTGTTTAGTATGCATTTTTACTCACAATTCTATACTGCTTTATAGAATTAGTATGAAACCAATTGCAGCCAGTGGATAATTCTGAATGAAAATAAACAGTCTCTATAGCTCCCTCTCTCCTCCAAATGATTTTTCCATGATGCCTAACCCAGTTAGGATGTGCAGCCAAATGCATGGAAGCTGAGCTTAGTAGGGAGATATAGATCAACTTTTAGATAACATGAATGACAATGTAGCCATCCACTGAGAAGGTCCACATTAGGACCTGGAAGCTGAAAATGAAAAAAGTGCTCTGAACTAAAATATGAACCTTCTTCCACAAAATGTGCTACTGTATCTTTTACAGTTCTGGAAGGGCAAGATACTGAGAAAGAGAGTTTGCAAATTCCTGTGCTCAGATCAATATAACTCCCTTGCTCTAGAGTCTTTTTATTGATGACAATCTCTTTCATTGTAGTGATTACAGATTCAACATCTTTTAATCACCTTCAACATGACAAATATACGTATCTATATCTCTGTGATTTACTGCAACTGACACAGTGTGAAAAAATCAGTGATTATGAGGTTGGCTGTTTGGTGTTACTGATTTTCCCATCTATGTCAACCAAGTAGCAAATAATGCACATTAAGCCACTGTTGCAATGTTGAGACGAGCAGGCAAAAGGAAATTGGATTTGATTTTGACACTCTTGTGTTACTGAACTGAAACTATAATGAAGAACAATGTCAATGTGAACTTTGAATTCTCCTCGTTTCTGGACAAGTGCCTATTTTCTGTTTCCTAACTACTGGACATCATGGCCTTAGATATAGTGTTGTCATTGGGAATATTTTCTTACAAATTACATACATTTCTGAAGTTTAATAGACAAATTTTAATTTGAAGTGATAAACTGGATTTTCCAATTCACAAATTAAATATCACACCTAAAAAGGCAACTTGGACTGTCCAAATAAACGTATGTATACACACACATACACACACACACACACACAGCCGCAATGTTGATTGTTCCTCACAAAATTGGTTCATAAAGTTGGCTGGCTGCTCACACCATTCCAAACCAGTGCATTAATTTCTTTCCATTACACACGGACTAGGTAAAAAACCATGAAAGGAAATGAAAAAGAGGCCAACTTAAGAAAGATGTTAAAAACTTAATTCTGGCCAACAGTTGTGACTAGATATGTAGGTTTCAATCACTCCTACAGACATTATTTGTTCGTTAGTTTACTCAGCAAAAATTTGAGTAATAACTAACTTTACTGAGCATCTAATATGTGCAGGTACTTTGCATGTATATAATCATTAGTGCTTATTACTCCCATTAAGGTAGGAATGAGGAGCCTCACATTTAGATAGAGAATTAGACTCAGACTGGCTAACTGGTCCGTGGGTGGGGAGAAAAGAGATTAGAACCCAGGCCTGTCAACTTCTACCACATCAGGCCCATTGCTTCTTCAAATATAGTCCAGGCACTGTACTGGACATCATTGTAGGAGTTTCAAACACAAATAAAATGCAGACTATATTGTTGATGGTGATTGTTTGGGTTCAGTTGAGTTCCCCCAAAGTTCATGTTGAATTCCTAACCCCCAGTACCTCACAGTGTGACCTTCTTTAGTTATAGGGCCTTTACTGAGGTAATAAAGTTAAAATGATTTCACTAGGCTGGGACCTAATCCAATATAACTGGTGGCCTTATAAAATGTAGAAATGTATACAAAGATACGCATAGAGGGAAGGGGATATGCGGACACAAGAATGGATAAGATGGCGATCTACAAGCCAACGAGAGATCTGGATCTGATTTTCTCTCACAGTCCTCCGAAGATACTAACACTGCCAAAAGCTTGACCTTGGAATTCTAGCCTCCAGGCTGTGAGGCAATGAAGTTCTGTTGTTTAAGCCACCCAAGTTGTGGTACTTTGTTATGGCAGCCCTAGCAAATTAATTCAGTCATATAGCCTAGTTAGTGGGTGAAGACAAATACATGAATGCCTGTACTACAAGGCAGACTATAGAAAATGAGAAGAGGAAGGCATGAACAATACTCAATGGCAGGAGGGCAGAGTTAATGACTGGCCAGGGTGGGGTGGGGAGGCAACAGCAGTGCAGGGTTAATTTTCCATATTTATTGAGTAAAAGGACAACAGTAGAAATAATTACAGCAATAACAATAATGACAGTAATGATACAGTCACATTTACTAAATACTTAATATGGGCTAGGCATGGTGCTAAGTGCCCTACAAAGATTATCTCATTTAACATTCACAACGATCCTGTGATGTGAGTTCTACATTATCCCTATGTTACATTGGGCACCTTGCTGGGACAGAGACCTGGGTACGAAGTGAGTCAATTCTGTTCCTTGTCCAACAGTGATGCAGAGTGAATTGCTTCTACCTGTATGAGGCCAATTTGCGTGGATTCCCTTACTCGTAACTTCAGTGCTCCCTCAAAATATTCTCCTTTTTTAGTCACAGACTGATTTGTCTTAAGTGTGGCTTATTTTCCTTTTGGCATTGAGCTTCCAAGCCAGTGCTAATTAATTTTTTACAGCTGACCTGCCTTCCTTATAGCAGGGAGGGTATTCTTATGAGAGAGCCAGTTCCTCAGAGCTAGGCTTACAGAGCACAAAGTCAAAACAATAAGTACATGTTGATGGCTGCTAGAAGTCAGTCTTAAAATTTGGGGAACATATCTATAGCATACCTTCCACAGCATGAGATATGCAACCAGCCCCTGACCCACAGACACAGAAGAGCTACTTCACCAGTTTTCAGACATGTCTTGTAGCCAGGAAGGCTGTTACTAATGCTGTGCACCAAGCCACAAAATGAGGCCGACCTGGGTGAAGAAATGAGGAAATAGGTAAAGTATAAATGTGGCAGCAGTCCCTATTCTGGTCCCATTGACATAAGCCATAAGAATGTCCCAGAAATCACCTAAATTTCACCTCCCAGGCTGCATCTCTTACCCTGAAAATGGCATTAATATCCTGATACTGGGTACAGATAAACTTGATTCCTGAAACCATATGGATGACAGAGAAAGATAGTAATAAAATCCAGGACTAAAAGCTAATCTCATCAGGCAAGGGAACTATCAGCAAAAAGATGAGTAGAGCGAGCCCTACAAACTAGTTTCTGTGTGACTCTGTGTATATGTGCATGCGCATGCGTACACACATACTCACACAAGCTCAGGAGCCCGGTGCCCCAAGCCTCTCACTGCCTTGGGGGAAGGGGGGGAGCAAGAGAAGCGAAAGCAAAAACAGCTGAATTCAGTCAAAGACCTGATTGTTTCCCAAATGTATATGCGGCTCCCAAGTGAAAGGCTTGCCAGATGGACCCCCACTGATGGCCTATGGCTTTGTTTGTGTCACCCACTTATGTCTGTCTCCGAGAGGGGCAGCCCGTGCATGGAGACAGTGAGCCGTTTGGGAGCCGCTTCTGCATGTGTAATTAGTCACGGTGCACCTGTACCTAACTGCATTAACAATTAACACAATTACATACACAATTGTGGAATTGCCCCCACTATTTGAATAATTAGTGAGCGAACAACATGATTTGCAGGTGCAATTGAGCAATTATGTACAGTTCCAAAGTGGAATATGCATATTTAGAGGCTTGGATGAGGCCCATTATAAATCTTGTTCCAAATGGTCAAATTAATTTTATTATTACAAGGAACAGTACTCAGTGAGAACTATCTCATCCTTAATGCACCGTAGCATTAGGTACTGGGGAACGCTTCACCTCATCAAGGTATTCAGCCCTGGGGTTTTGCCAACACAGGCACCCCTGCCATAATGCTGCCAGCCTGTACACTATCCTTTGGCCTTTCCGACTCCAGAGTATCCCCAACTTCCTCTTGTCTCTCCTTCAAAATGCTGCTGACACTTTGATGGCTCCCTGCAGCTTTTCCTAATTAAGTCCCATTTTTCTTGAGTCGTGGGTTCAGTAACACAAGAGCTCAGCACTAGGGGCTGAACAAAGACATTACCTCAGCTGCCTCTGGCAAGGAAGAGACCCAAAAAGGCAGTGGCAGTAACCAGGTGGTACTCACAGCCTGTCTGCTTAGGGGTGGCAGCATTGTTGGACATTGACAGCAATGGCTGGCACACCTTCCAAGTTCTCTGGCATTAGGGAAGTTTCCTTAATCTACTCTGAACTCCTGTCACCCCCTAGCCATGTTGGTATCTCCTCAGCCACTGGAGAGGAAATTCACTGAAGGCTTGAGTTTCTAACTTGCAAAATGGCAAAACCAGTTGGGCTGTGGGGCATTTGCTCCCAGAACTATAGAAAGCTAAGGAGGAGAGGCAGCAGCTCAATTGTGCTGCAAACACATGGAGAGACCCAGGGCTACTGCTAATACTGTGTGATGCCCCCTTAGTTCAAAAGGCCTGTAGAATCTGATGCTTGGTTCACCTGTACTCTCACAGGTCCCCTTAAGAGAAGTGTTCTGTCTCTGTCAAATCTGTCTATACTTCTGCAAGTCTGCCCTCATTTGTTAGCTATCTGAAGGCAAACTGCAGAAAAAGCCACCTATGGGTCAAATTAGGATTATTGCAGATCCACCTCCCCTCAAGACCAAGGCAATGCTTCCTTCTAGAGACAAGCTAAAAAAAAATCATATCTTGGGATGGTTATTAAGTTCTAGAATGAGCTCCAGTAGTGTTACAGCAACCATTTAGTTGTCTATAGGAGATGTTTGGAACTGACAGAGTTAACAGAAATGAGAGGAACAAGTGGGCAAGGAAAGATCCCCTGAAAGACAATCTCCGCTTATTTTCCCAACCTGTAAAAACTAACTAAAATACAAGTCAGGAAAAGGAGATTAACACTTGTAAGTGTACCGGAATCTTTACAAATAAACCTTTTCCCAGCCTTCATTTCTGATTTGCTATGTTAAGTAACAAATAACATCAAAAAAATAAAAAAAAAATGGTTGTTTCCCATCCTTGATCTTTATGTCTTCATAAAACCTCACCCAAACCTCTTGGTGGTTCATGGTGGTTAAAGCAGAGTCTGAGAAAATGGCTCAGGCTTCACATTGGCAAAGTGTTTTGTTTTTGTGTATGTGTTTTCTGAACATAAATTGGCTTTTTTCTTTATACCACCGAGGGGGAAATATCAATAGCATCATACTTCCATCACCTAACCAACAAAATCCAAAAAGGAAGACATAAAGATTGAGGATAGAAAACAGCCTCTTTCTCTTTTTCAATGTTATTTGCTCCCTAACACAGTGAATCAGAAATGAAGGCTGGAGCAAGGATCGTCTGTAAAGATTCCAGTATCCTTATGAGCGTCAGTCCCCTTTTCCTGATTTATACTTTAGCTAATTTTTACAGATTGGGAAAATGAGTAGAGATGGAAGACAAGATCTGTGTGCCTTTCTAACAAGACTTCAGGAAAACTATTATTTTGGAACATTGCATTTTTCAGCCACCTAGATGCCGTTTTTTACTGTTCAGTTTCATGAAACATTACCCAAGTTCTTGAAATAAATTTCTTGACCCACGTATAACTACATTAAATGGTGTAATTTAATGCAATCTAACTAAATTAGTACCAATTAGGCTAAATTAAAGGGCATGTCACTAATAAATTTTATGCTAAACATATTACTGATAATAAGCTCACTAAAATGCATAATAAAATAAAATATTATTTTTAGCTTAGTTTAATCCAAACAATATCCAGAAGTCTTTAAAATAAAATATACCAAGCAAAATCCTTAATTCCTTAAAGAGAAATGGGAAAAACCATCCTGCTATATTAACTGTGAATCTGATTTGTCTTTTTGTTTGTTATTAATATTTCTTAACCAGATATCAAAACATCTCTCCTTTTGGGGACTCAGTTCCTAACTTCCAAAATGTAGACGTAACATTGACTGGTCTCCAAATTTATTCTAGAGCAGAGATAGGGGTAGTTTGCTACAGGATTAGAAGAACACAGGCTTGTCTATCAAGATACCTAAATTTCAGTTAATCATCTCAGCTCTGTCACTTATTGGTTGGATATCCTTTGTGGAAGATCAGAAAATGGTTCCCAAAAGATATGTCCACGTCAAATCCCTGGAATCTGTGAACATTAACTTATATTACTTTATATGGAAAAAATGTGATTGAGGATCTTAAAGACTCCCCAGGCAAGATGTCCAAATAGGAACAGCTCTGGTCTGCAGCTCCCAGCGAGACCAATGCAGAAGGCAGGTGATTTCTGCATTTCCAACTGAGGTACCCAGTTCATCTCATTGGGACTGGTTAGACAGTGGGTGCAGCCCAAGGATGGCGAGCAGAAGCAGGATGGGGCGTCGCCTCATCCTGGAAGTGCAAGGGGTCAGGGAACTCCCTCCCCTAACTAAAGGAAGCTGTGAGGGGCGGTGCTATCCAGCCCAGATACTATGCTTTTCCCATGGTCTTTGCAACCCACAGACCAGGAGATTCCCTCGGGTGCCTACACCACAAGGGCCCTGGGTTTCAAGCACAAAACTGGGTGGCCATCTGGGCAGACACCGAGCTAGCTGCAGGAGCTTTTTCTTCATATCCCAGTGGCACCTGGAATGCCAGCGAGACAGAACCATTCACTCCCCTGGAAAGAAGGCTGAAGCCAGGGAGCCAAGTGGTCTTGCTCAGTGGATCCCACCCCCATGGATCTCAGCAAGCTAAGATCCACTGGCTTGAAATTCTCACTGCCCCAGCACAGCAGTCTGAAGTCGACCTGGGATGCCATTACTGAGGACTGAGTAGGCAGTTTTCCTCTCACAGTGTAAACAAAGCCACCACAAAGTTTGGACTGGGCAGAGCCCACCATAGCACCACAAAGCCGGTATAGTCAGACTGCCTATTTACATTCCTCCTCTCTGGGCAGGGGATCTCTAAAAGAAAGGCAAAAGCCCCAATCAGGGGTTTATATATAAAACTCCCATCTCCCTGGGACAGAGCAACTGGGAGAAGGGGCAGCTGTGGGCGCAGCTTCAGCAGACTTAAACGTTCCTGCCTGCAGGCTCTGAAGAGAGCAGTGGATCTCCCAGCACAGCGTTAGAGCTCTGCTAAGGGACAGACTGCCTCCTCAAGTGGGTCCCTGACACCTCCCAGCAGGAGTTGACAGACACCTCATACAGGAGAGCTCCAGCTGGAATCTGGCGGGTGCCCTTCTGGGACGAAGCTTCCAGAGGAAGGAACGGGCAGCAATCTTTGCTGTTCTGAAGCCTCCGCTGGTGATACCCAGGCAAACAGAGTCTGGCGGAAAACCCCAGCAAACTCCAGCAGATCTTCAGAAGAGGGGCCTGTTAGAAGAAAACTAACAAACAGAAAGCAATAGCATCAACATCCACAAAAAGGATGACCATGCAAAAACTCCATCCGAAGTTCACCAACAGCAAAGACTGAAGGTAGATAAATCCATGAAGAATGAGGAAAAACCAGTGCAAAATGGCTGAAAATTCCAAAAACCAGAATGCCTCTTCTCTTCCAAAGGATCACAACTCCTCGCCAGCAAGGGAACAAAACTGGACAAAGAATAAGTTTGACGAACTGACAGAAGTAGGCGTCAGAAGCTGGGTAATAACAAACTCCTCCGAGCTAAAGGAGCATGTTCTAACCTAATGCAAGGAAGCTAAGAACCTTGAAAAAAGGTTAGAGGAATTGCTAACTAGAATAACCGGTTTAGAGAAGAACATAAATGACCTTATGGAGCTGAAAAACACAGCAAGAGAACTTTGTGAAGCATTCACAAGTATCAATAGCCAAATTGATAAAGCTGAAGAAAAGATATCAGAGACTGAAGATCAACTTAATGAAATAAAGCATGAAGACAAGATTAGAGAAAAAATAATGAAAAGTAATGAACAAAGCCTCCAAGAAATATGGAACTATGTGAAAAGACCAAACGGACGTTTGATTGATGTACCTGAAAGTGCAGGAGAGAATGGAACCAAGTTGGAAAACACACTTCAGGATATTATCCAGGAGAACCTCCCCAACCTACAAAGACAGGCCAACATTCAAATTCAGGAAATACAGAGAACACTGCTAAGATACTCCTTGAGAAGAGCAACCCCAAGATACATAATCATCAGATTCACCAAGGTTGAAATGAAGGAAAAAATGTTAAGGGCAGCCAGAGAGAAAGGTTGGGTTACCCACAAAGGGAAGCCTATTCGATTAACAGCAGATCTCTCTGCAGAAACCCTAAAAGCCAGAAGAGAGTGGGGGCCAATATTCAACATTCTTAAAGAAAAGGATTTTCAACCCAGAATTTCATATCCAGCCAAACTAAGCTTCATAAGTGAAGGAGAAATAAAATGCTTTACAGACAAGCAAATGCTGAGGGATTTTGTCACCACCAGGCCTGCCTTACAAGAGCTCCTGAAGGAAGCACTAAATATGGAAAGGAAAAACTGGTAGCAGCCACTGCAAAAACAAACCAAAATGTAAAGACCATCAACACTATGAAGAAACTGCACCAACCAATAGGCAAAATAACCAGCTAGAATCGTAACGACAGGATCAAATTCACATATAACAATATTAACCTTAAATGTAAACGGGCTAAATGCCCCAATTAAAAGACACAGATTGACAAACTGGATAAAGAGCCAAGACGCATTGGTGTGCTGTATTCAGGAGGCCCATCTCACGTGCAAAGACACACATAGGCTCAAAATAAAGGGATGAAGGAATATTTATCAAGCAAATTGAAAGCAAAAAAAATGCAACAAGAAGAGCTAACTATCCTAAATATATATGCACCCAATACAGGAGCACCCAGATTCATAAAGCAAGTTCTTAGAGACCTACAAAGAGACTTAGACTCCCACACAATAATAGTGGGACGCTTTAACACCCCACTGTCAATATTAGACAGATCAATGAGACAGAGAATTAACAAGGATATTCAGGACTTAAACTCAACTCTGGACCAAGTGGACCTAATTGACATCTACAGAACTCTCTACCTCAAATCAACAGAACATACATTTTTGTCAGCACCACAAAGCACTTATTCTAAAATCGACCACATAAATAGAAGTAAAACACTCCTCAGCAAATGCAAAAGAATGAAAATCATAACAAACAGACTCTCAGACCACAGTGCAATCAAATTAGAACTCAGGATTAAGAAACTCACTGAAAACCGCACAACTACATGGAAACTGAACAACCTGCTCCTGAATGATGACTGGGTAAATAACAATATCAAGGCAGAAATAAGTAAGTTTTTTGAAACCAATGAGAACAAAGACACAATGTACCAGAATCTCTGGGACACAGCTAAAGCAGTGTTTAGAGGGAAATTTATAGCACTAAATGCCCACAGGAGAAAGTGAGGAAGATCTAAAATTGACATCACAATTAAAAAAACTAGAGAGGCAAGAGCAAACAAATTCAAAAGCTAGCAGAAGACAAGAAATAACTAAGATCAGAGCAGAATTGAAAGAGATAGAGACACGAAAAACCCTTCAAAAAAATAAATGAATTCAGGAGCTGGTTTTTTGAAAAGATTAACAAAATAGATAGATCACTAGCCAGACTAATAAAGAAGAAAAGAGAGAAGAATCAAATCAACACAATAAAAAACGATAAAGGGGAGATCACCACTGATCCCACTGAAATAAAAACTATCATCAGAGAATACTATAAAACCCTCTACGCAAATAAACTAGAAAATCTAGAAGAAATGAATAAGTTCCTGGACACATAAACCAGGAAGAAACTGAATCCCTGAATAGACCAATAACAAATTCTGAAATTGAGACAGTAATTAATAGACTACCAACCAAAAAATTAAAAAATAAAAAGCCCAGGACCAGACAGATTCACAGCCCAATTCCACCAGAGGTACAAAGAGGAGCTGGTACCATTCCTTCTGAAATCATTCCAAACAACAGAAAAAAAAGGACTCCTCCCTAACTCATTCTATGACACCGTCATCATCCTGATTCAAAAACCTGGCAGAGACACAACAAAAAAAGAAAATTTCAGGCCAATATCCCTCACGAACATCGATGCAAAAATCCTCAATAAAATGCTGGCAAACCGAATCCAGCAGCACATCAAAAAGCTTATCCACCACGATCAAGTCGGCTTCATCCCTGGGATGCAAGGCTAGTTCAACACACGCAAAACAATAAACAGGATCCATCACATAAACAGAACCAATGACAAAAACCACATGGTTATCTCCATAGATGCAGAAAAGGCCTTTGATAAAATTCAACACTGCTTCATGCTAAAAACACTCAATAAACTAGGTATTAATGGAACATACCTCAAGATAATAAGAGCTATTTATGACAAAACCACAGACAATATCATACTGAATGGGCAAAAGCTGGAAGCATTCCCTTTGAAAATTGGCACAAGACAAGGATGCCCTCTCTCACCACTCCTATTCAACATAGTGTTGGAATTTCTGGCCAGGGCAATCAGGCAAGAGAAAGAAATAAAGTGTATCCAAATAGGAAGAGAGGAAGTCAAATTATCTCTGTTTGCAAATGACATGGCTTCATATTTAGAAAACCCTATCATCTCAGCCCAAAATCTTCTTAAGTTGATAAGCAACTTCAACAAAGTCTCAGGATACAAAATCGATGTGTGAAAATCACAAGCATTTCTATACATCAATAATCGACAAACAGAGAGCCAAATCATGAGTGAATTCCCATTCACAATTCTACAAAAAGAATAAAATACCTAGGAATACAACTTACAAGGGATGTGAAGGACCTACTCAAGGAGAACTATAAACCACTGCTCAAAGAAATAAGAGAGGACACAAATGGAAAAATATTCCATGCTCATGGATAGGAAGAATTAATATCCTGAAAATGGCCATACTGCCCAAAGTAATTTATAGATTCAATGCTATTCCCATCAAGCTACCATTGACTTTCTTCACAGAATTAGAAAAAACTACTTTAAATTTCATATGGAACCAAAAAAGAGCCCGTATAGCCAAGACAATCCTAAGCAAAAGGAACAAAGCTGGAGGCATCACACTACCTGACTTCAAACTATACTACAAGGCTACAGTAACTAAAACAGCATGGTACTGGTACCAAAACAGATATATAACCAATGGAACAGAATAGAGGCCTCAGAAATAACACCACACATCTACAACCATCTGAACTTTGACAAACATGAGAAAAACAAGCAATGGGGAAAGGATTCCCTATTTAATAAATGGTGTTGGGAAAACTGGCTAGCCATATGCAGAAAACTGAAACTGGTCCCCCTTCCTTAAACTGTATACAAAAATCAACTCAAGATGGATTAAAGATTGAAATATAAGAACTAAAACCGTAAAAACCCTAGAAGAAAACCTAGGCAATACCATTCAGGACAGAGGCATGGGCAAAGACTTTATGACTAAAACACCAAAAGCAATGGCAACAGAAGCCAAAATTGACAAATGGGATCTAATTCAACTAAAAAGCTTCTGCACAGCACAAGAAACTATCATCAGAGTGAACAGGCAACCTACAGAATGAGAGAAATATTTTGCAATCTATCCATCTGACAAAGGGCTAATATCCAGAATCTACAAGGAACTTAAACAAGTTTTGAGAAAAAAAAACAACCCCATCAAAAAGTGGGCGAAGTATAGGAACAGACACTTTTCAGAAGAAGACCTTTATGCAGCCAACAAACATGAAAAAAAGCTAATCATCACTGATCATTAGAGAAATGCAAATCAAAACCACAATGAGATACCATCTCACACCAGTTAGAATGGCAATCATTAAAAAGTAAGGAAACAACAGATGCTGGAGAGAGTGTGGAGAAATAGGAATGCTTTTACACTGTTGGTGGGTGTGTAAATTAGTTCAACCATTGTGGAAGACAGTGTGGCGATTCCTCAAGGATCTAGAACCAGAAATACCATTTGACCCAGCAATCCCATTACTGGGTATATACCCAAAGGATTATAAATCATTCTACTATAATGACACATACACACATATGTTTATTGCAGCACTATTCACAATAGGAAAGACTTGGAACCAGCCCAAATGCCCATTAATGTTAGATTGGATAAAGAAAATGTGGTACATATACACCATGGAATACTATGCAGCCATAAAAATGAATGAGTTCATGTCCTTTGCAGGGACATGGATGAAGCTGGAAACCATCATTCTCAGCAAACTAACAAAGGAAGAGAAAACCAAACACTGCATGTTCTCACTCATAAGTGGGAGTTGAACAACGAGAACACATGGACACAGGGAGGGGGCCATCACACACTCAGGCCTGTTGGGGTGTGGGGGGCAAGGGGAGGGAGAGCATCAGGAGAAATACCTAATGTAAATGACAGGTTGATGGGTGCAGCAAACCACCATGGCACATGTATACCTATGTGACAAACCTGCATGTTCTGCACATGTATCCCAGAACTTAAAGTACATGAAAAAAAAAAGTTAAGGATCTTGAGAGGATGCATTTATCCTGAGTTATCTGGTAGACCCTAAATATAATCACCCATATCCTTATAAGAGAGAGGCAGAGGGAGTTTGGGGACAGACACAAGGAGAAGAATAGAAGACACACAAAACATACAGAGACGAAATCGATGTGAAGATAGAGGCACAGATTGGAGCAATGAGGCCACAAGCCAAAGACTGCCAGCAGCTACCAGAAGCTAAAAGAGGCAAGGAAAGATTCTCTCCAAAAGCTTCTGGAAAGTTCCACAGTCACCTTGATTTTGGACTTCTAACCTTCAAAACTAGGAGGTGACAAATTTCTGTTATTTTAAGTTACCCAGTTTTTGGTAATTTGTTACACTTGCCATAGAGAAACTATATAACCTTGGTCCTCACTTTGCTTCACTGGCAAATGGGGCTAACCATGCCTACCTCACAGATTTAATGTGAAAAGTTTAAGTAAAAACAATAAATGCTAACATTTATATAGCACTTACCAAGTGCTGTCAAAGAAGGCAAAGTGCATGCCAGCACACAGGTCATTATTATTCCAGCTTGTCTGTTTCGATAGTTCTAATTTTATAAGCTATTTTCAGATACCAGAGTAGAACATGCATATTATACAGAACTTATAGGTAAAACATGCATATTACACAGAACTTATAGGTAAAAAGTTATAAACCAAGATAGATATAAGACTCTTTGCTGGCCACCTAATCAATTTTTATAACAAATATATCCCCTGATTATCAAACGTATCTAAATGAAGAAAGAGGGCTATACTACTTTGTAGAGCTTTTCACTAAAGGTGTATCCATTTGCATGAATAAACATTCAAAATAAGGATGTGTTGGTTATGCATAATTACAAATAATCAAGCAAAAGAGCTTAACTACACAATTAATAAAAATTACTCTGCCGGTTCAAGTCCAATAAAGTCCACCTCACTCATTTTAATCACTCAAAAGATCCCATAAGTTCATTACATGATAAAACAATCATTGTTTTTAATCTTTTCTGCCATTTGACCAAAGAATAAGCACAGCATTGGGCTACTGTTTTACAGAGAACAGCCTGTCCAGTTAGCTATAAACTGCAGTCCCTACGTACTGATCTGAGCCCAAAGAAACAAAATTTTCCCCAAGCAAAACCAACATATTCACAAAAATATAAGTAAGACGGAGAGAGTGAGTATTCTGGAAGAATTGCACAGGTTGCTATTAGGAATTTTTTTTAGAGCAGCGGCCATGTGTGTTAGAATAGCAGGAGTGAAATTATGTATATCTCCGGGGAAACACACAGAGAGGCTGATAAATAAGAGAGGAATGTAGAATATGAATTCAGCAGAGTGGAAAGGAAGAGGGAAAAGGAGAGGAAGAGATAAAATTATTAAAGTGCTCATCAAGCACAGGAAACCAGTATGAATCTATAGGGTGTTAGACAAATCTTTCCGAACTCTTGTTTTCTTCCACGTCAGTCTGTGCTCATACAAGGAGGATATGACATCTATCTCATGCTAAAAAGATTACCAGTGCTAAATTAAGTACTCAACTTTGGATGGTGATTGTATGTGAGGTTCCTGGTATGTCTCTTTCCTCTTGCGCTAAATAATTTTTTATAAATCTTTAATCATTTACTTGAATTGTTTGAATTGTTTTTGCTGACATTATTTTAACTTTGTGGCTGACCTGATTCATTTTTGGGAAAAGTTGGCATGTAAACTAATAATGGCAAGTGAGTTTAAAATTATAGGATCTAGGCAGTCACCCTGACTTGGCATTTCTGATGAGTATGTGCTGCTAGTTATACTTGTAATAACTCAAGATGAGCCCTAATTCTTCATTCAGAGGAAATTCTTGGAAATGGTGGTGTTCTCCAAAAAGCTTAAGAATGTCTATGAAATAACTTATTGGAGCATGGTGGTCACACTTCTCCTAGATTCTGACATTTTGCAAAATGAACAACTTGTAGCTCAGATCTTCTATAAGAGACCCAGTTTCCTGCACATTTGGAATCCTCTTCTTCCCAGCTTTAAGGGCTCCTGAAATGAGAGCTAATTCTACCACTAAACCTTTGACAATGTTTTCTTTCTTTCTTTCCTTCTTTCTTTCTCTTTCTTTCTTTCTTTCTTTCTTTCTTTCTTTCTTTCTTTCTTTCTTTCTTTCTTTCTTTCCTTCCTTCCTTCCTTCTTTCCTTCCTTCCTTCCTCCCTCCCTCCTTTCCTTCCTTCCTTCCTTCCTTTTTGAACAGCAGCTTTACATCTCTATAGCATACTCATCGTTTGCATTTGTCACTCTGATTAATTCTCTCCCAAATTTTGCATATTTCCAAGATGAATCTCATTTACTACTCAGGAGGCTACCCTCTTCACAAATGCTTGTTAAATTGCCCTGGCCCTCAACTGGTTTTAAGAGGCTAGTTAATAAGAGCTGGAAACAGAATTCTTTGGAGGATTACTTTCTTCTCATGAAGATTTGGGGAAAAAGATGTAACCACAATGAAATATATAGTCACTATTATTTTCAGACCTCCCTGCACTAATTATTACTTTTTAAAAGAGATACATATATTTTCTTTCATCTTATAACAAAAATTGCATGATATCTAAATATGATTCAGGAAATATATTTTAAAAGAAGAATCCATGGCTTCTTCACTTAGAAATTACTAGATTTAACATCTTGGTGTATGGTCTTCTAGTATTTTTTATATATTCAAGTGTTTTTCTTTCTGTTAATCAAATGCAATATATTTTTTGTTTTATTTTTTTACTTTCTTTTTTATCTTTATTTTTATTTTTTCTTCATTTCTCCTAAAAACATGGGATACATATGCAGCACGTGCAGATTTGTTACACAGGTATATTTGTGCCATGGTGGTTTGCTGCACCTGACCTCTAAGTTCCCTCTCCCAACAGGTCCTGGTGTGTGTTGTTCCCCTCTCTGTGTCTATGTTATTCAAGCATTTTTTAAACAAAAATGATTATGCTATACATAATGAGTTGCTTCTTTATCAATGGTTGAATTATTAGTTATTATTTGCTGCTCATTTTTTGTTGGTGATTCCATAGGGCTAACTCCATGACAATGTAAAATAAATGATAAGGCATTTGTTTTCTCAATCTCAATTCTAAGTTTCAATATCTTTACTGCCTCCACTTAGAAATTATTAATAAAGAAATATTTATGCAGCTTCATCAGAGGACAAACAAATTGCATCTGAAACAGACTTTTGGAAAGAACTTTAACTGAAAATTTAAAGTAACCACATATTATACCTGAAAATCATAGGGGGCTCTGGTCAAAAAAAAAAAAAAAGAAAGAAAGAAAGAAAAAAAAGAAAGAAAAAAAAACAACTTTGAAAATGTAAGCCACTCTTCTATAATAATCACATGGTGTTCTATACAGCCAACGTTAAACTCATCAAAAGCATCATTTTGCCATTCTTTCCTCTTGGATTCTAAATTTCAAACATCCAAGCTGCTTTCAGATGCCTCTATAATCCTTTCTTCATGGCTACACACTGTGATGCATAAAGGATGAGAAATCAAAGTTGTCAGCCATCTGAGAATTTTTAATGTATCAAACATTGCCTTCTAAATACATTTCTATTTCATTTCAGAAACAAAACGAGTGATTTGGTCTAAAAAAGTCAGTCTGGTTCATTAACCTATAACTGTACAAAAGCAAGAGTCAATTACCTTGCCACATCAGATGTGTGTTGAGATAATTACCCTGAAAAGAAGATGTAAGGATGCCCATAAAGGCAGTGAAATGTGACCTATTAAATCAGGCTGTAACCTATTATGGGTCAAAAAACACATTTGTAGGGCCAATAGTCTCCTGCCTACATCCAGTCTTGCATGAATCTTGCAGGTTTCTTTTTCAAGTAAACTTTCCATCTGTCTTTACATTTCAAACTGGGGTCTCGTCTTCCTACTTTCACTACTCTTGGCTATCTGGGATGCATATATACACGTCACAGAACTAATTTCCTACTTAAAATTACACCCTTTAAAATCTGTTTGCAAAATCTGACATAACAGGCCAAGATCAGGCTGTATTAAATCAGCAAAGAATCATTTAGGTTCACTTTCTTGTAAGTTCTCCCCTTGTTAATACTTTGTAACATTGATTTCCATCTCCAAAAGCAACATCTGTTACAGTGAGAGAGCAAATGAGTCAACAATCAGATTCACTGAGGATCACCTGGTGTGAGAGGAGAAAACATATTTACTACTGTCTTTACTTGGATTACTGCCAATCACAACAGAGACAAGATGGTCACAAGCCTGAAAGGGCTTCTTTTCTGAGAATTCAGTGTGTTGGAGGAATGCTCATTACTAGGCAGTTCAATATAAAAATCAGGGGCCATTCTCTTGCAATTACACATGGAAAAGAGAAGGAGAAAATGAATGTAAGGAGGAAATGCAGGTCTTGATTCTGTTTGTGAAAAATCAGCTGCACATTCTATAATTGGACATCCTGAATTTGAAAACTGGTATTTTCTTCTCTCAAATAACACAAAGAAGATAGTTACTCCTAGATACACTTTAATTATGTTTGGCAGGGTCCATAAGACCACCCACACATTTGGAGAATCACTAGGAACACCCATGGAATTCAACATATAGTTCACTCACGACTAAGGCTTATGATAGGAAAATAAGGAAAAAAGAAATAGGCAGAGTCTGGAGGAATCCATATGCGGGCTTCCTTGTGTTCTCTCCATCTCATGAGAAGTTCTGCTCATGGAAGCGCATTATAGAATTAGCACTGAATCTTTTCATTTGGGACTAGCCACATAGGCACCTTCTGCCCAGCATGTACAAAAATTCCAGATCCTGTGAAAGAAAGCAGGTATTCAGCATGAATCACAACATTTGTACAAACAATTGAGGCACAGTGAGCCACATTTTTTCCGTTAGGGAACATTTTCAAAGCCATATTCCCAGAGGCCAGCCACAGGCCAATCTTGTAAGCAGGCGCTTCAGGAAACTACAGTTTCAGTACTGCAATGTTAACTCTTTTCTGCACCAATACTCCTGCAGTGAAATACATTTACACCATATTAAGCTGCAAATAATTTCAGCAACAGAAAGGTCATCATAAGCAGATCAAGGAAGTATCTGCATTAAAACATGTTTTACCATCCTCACAAAGGAGTGAGAGGCTTTCTCCCAGCTCTTCATATGTTCTATTGAAGACTTGTGTGAGGCCCTTCCAGACGACAGGAGCCAGGAAAATCCCTCCCACTTATCAATAGATTATGGACTGCTGTACAATATCACTTATTATGTGATTTAAATTTGCACAAGTTTCTACCTCTTTGTCCATGTTTTTATTAACAGTTCCTCCATTTGTAGTACCTCCTGCTCTTGGAATGATACCCCCAACTTTACAATTACAAATCCCACTGATATTTCAAGTGTGTGGGACCCTGCCAAACAGGATTAAAGTGTATCTAGGAGTAACAATTTTATTTGTGTCATTTGATATAAGAAAATATCAGTTTTCAAATTCAGGATGTCCACGTATAGAATGAGCTGCTGATTTTTCTCAAATATAATCTTCTGCTTCTGAAGCCATCCCCAGCAACACTGGCTGGAGTTAATCTACACCTCTCCTAGCAGTTTCTACCTTGAGCTATAGATGCTTGTGTGAATATCATGCCACACGCATGATTTTCTCTCCTAATCTGCAAGCCACACCAAGGCAGTGTCTAATCCAATCATGATAAATGTTTGTCCTTTGCAGTTTTTCCCCCATCACACATCATCACTGATGTTTAGCACAGTACTCGCATATAGTAGGCACTCAGCAAATGTATGTCAGATGGATGGAAGACTGAATAATCTGGAAAGGCTTTGAATTGGCCCCTGTGAAATTGCTGATAACTGGACTTCTAAAGACGGCATACCTTTCCATGGAAAGCTCTGCCCCCAGCAGCAGAGATCAGAATGCTATGGAACCATTTTTATTGGTTTGCAAAATGCACTTCTTTGTCTGTAACTGCCCATTTCAGCAGCTAGAAATCTGGGGATTCTTCCTGGGAGTCAGTCTGAAATATAATATCAAGTTAAGGAGAAGGGGTCTGGGTTTGGAATCTGTTCTATTAATTTAGAGTCCTGAGTCTGAGAAGCATCATTTTCCATACTACTCCAGCGGCTCTGGCTCTCTCCCAAAACATTCAGAACGTCTGTTCTGGATTCTCATTGAAACTAAAGACCCCAGAGCGAAACAGGAGCCAAGTTGAGGATGGAGGGGCAAGACTGAGGTCTTAGTCCATTATGTACTAAGAAATGGCTCTACATTTCTAACTGAGCTTCCCAGTGACACATTCTGAGGAACATAAAGAACAGTGTATTGTAAAAGTGTTCAACAGTTTATCGATAGGGAACAAAAATACATCATTGTCCCTGCTGCCTGTTACCCTGTTACCTTAGTTTCTTCTGTTACAGGTTTGTATTCTTGCTATTCATGAAAACCACTCACACTCATGAAAACCACTCACACTCCATGCCTGCTGGCAGCCTTCATGACACTATAGCTGCCTTTTACCCAATGTATTCAATGGAACCTCTTCAGAAGGAAGGCACATCTTGCCTTCCACAAAGCAAGTCCAAATTGTAAAGACTTCTATAGTAAGCCTTTTAAAAATAAAAATTCTAATGTACTTGTCTTATAATATCATTTTTCATCTACCAAGTTTTCTTCAAGCAGGGTCCCTGCTCCATTCTGTGGAAAGAAATGAGAGGTTGCACAGTTTCAAGGCTCAGTCCAATGGGCATAAAACTCTAGCTGTACACATGTCAAGCTCCTTGTCCCTTCAAAGTCTCAATTTTGTCACCTTTAAATGAGAAAGAATAACATCTACTTCAAAGGAATTAAATGAGAAAAGTTGAAATAAAAAAGAAGTGACATTTTGGCAAGATCTGATTCTTGATCTGAATCTTGAACTTGATCTTGAACCATCACAAACTTGCCACCATCCAGGACACAGATGGGACTGTCGGCTGGGAGGAACCACCTGCAATTTAATGGCCAGTTGTACAACAAATGAGAAAAACAATGAACAAAAACATGTCCTCATAACTTTCTGCCACAGCAAAGACCTTTTGGTGAATGATCCCAAAATGCTGTTTTCCCTCCCTAATCTGTGCCTTAGAAGGTAATTTTAATTTATTCTCTATGTGATAGCTATGGGAATAGCTTCTCTATAGCCAAAGCTATTATTCTTCTCAAACTGAAAGGTCTTGCAGATCACATTAACTTGCAAATATGTGTGTTTATGGGTGTGTGTGTGTGTGTGTATGCATATGCACACATTTTTGGCCCAGTGTGAAAGCCCTTAAAGATCCTCCATAAAATTGTCAGCAAGAACAGCAGGAGTAGTTAACAGCAGGCTTCACGTCTGAAGGCCTGGAAGTGACGTCAAGGAGGTGTGAACTGCATTTAATTAAGGACTCTTAGTTTTCTTCTTCAGGAGAGGAGACATTTGCAGGTAACCTGGACACATGTCCCAGGCCAGCCAAGTGCAGGAAGCATATGTGACGAGATCACTATATTACAGCGTGATAGATGCCATAGTAGCCATAAGAACAGAACAGAGGGAGTTTGAACTAGGAAAGGGAAGGACTAACTGCTGGATTTGGGGGTGAGGGTGATTGAGGGGTTCAGAAAAGGGCTGAAAAGGGGCAGAACAAACTTCAGAAGAGAGACAAATTTGATCAGTCTCTCGTAGGATGAATAAAAGTTCACCAGGCAGAGGAAGTAAGTGGAAACAGTCAAGTATTCCAAGCAGAAGTGACAGCATGGAGGAGGCATAAGGCGGCAGTAGGCACCAGTCAGCCTCCCAGGGCGGATGGCCATAGTATGTAAGAGTTCAGATTACATAGGCAAGGCTCATCAGATAGAGCACATGTTACAATTATGCCTTCCATACAATGGGCCTGGTTATCCTGACGTACTTCCCAGAAGTCTTTGAAGGAAAAAGAAATAGAGTTGACTTCAATAATATGTGCAAATGTGAAGTGCTATGTAACTACATAATATTGCTAATTTAAAAGCATTAAATATCCTTCACCTACATTTCAAGGCAAGTTGTGAAAATAAAGCTGTCTTATTTCATTAAGAATACCCAACTGAGTTGGTAATGCCAATAATCACCCCCTATCAAGATGGCTGTAATTTGTTTGTCAACCCTTTTAAGTTCTTAGCAAATTAGTTTTTCAGCATGTGGTTACAAGGATATTATGAAATCACAGGGTTTAGGATGCCTTTCTGTCTTAAGACTGAGCTTTAGGTTGCTAGTGGCTTTCAGGGGCAAATTCCCTGAGAAACTTTGCATTCAGGTTGAAGCAAATCAGCCTATATGACTAAATATCTCAATTGAAAGTGCTCTTTTGAGTCTATCATTTGAAATGCTTTGTTTGCGTTTTAGAAACAAAAATCTTCCTGACATGGTCACATTGATGCCACTTGTTGCATCACAATCACACTCTCTTCCATGACATCATCTTCTCAACTAAAATCCTGTTATTTAAGTTATTAATGTTTAGCTTTTACAACTACCTTTTAATCAACAATTATTTAACATACATCATCCAACCACATTAACAATAAAAACTGGAGCTTCTTATGATAAATTATTATTTTTATTTGGATGTTTAAAATCCTTTCCCTCTTCCATGTTACTTTTATTTAACATAATATACAATAAATGAATCATTTATATAATTCATCCTGGCAACAACTGTTTTACCTGTACAAAACAGTTATCTGAGAAGTTATATTAAAATGGCATTTCAAGTATCATTCTACTGTGGTCCCTAAAATGAAATGACTTTCTCCTTTGCCCTTTACCCCAGCCCTTAGACCAAAATGAACCAAACAAATAAAAATACAATTCAAAGAAAAATGTGAAAGCTAAGGAAAGATACTACAACCAAGATTCAAGAGAGAATCCACACTTTGATGTTTCTTTTGGCACTTCTGAGTACTGGGAAATTTTGAGAGAACACTAAATCAACAAGAAATCTGACAATGATCAGGGTCATAGAATTGGAGAAACCTCAGGCAGCATCACTCTAAATAATCCTTGATGGATCAGAATCCTCCTTGCTTATAAAGACGTTCAAATGGGATCTAATTAAACTAAAGAGCTTCTGCACAGCAAAAGAAACTACCATCAGAGTGAACAGGCAACCTACAAAATGGGAGAAAATTTTTGCAACCTACTCATCTGACAAAGGGCTAATAACCAGAATCTACAATGAACTCAAACAAATTTACAAGAAAAAAACAAACAACCCCATCAAAAAGTGGGCGAAGGACATGAACAGACACTTCTCAAAAGAAGACATTTATGCAGCCAAAAAATACATGAAAAAATGCTCATCATCACTGGCCATCAGAGAAATGCAAATCAAAACCACTATGAGATACCATCTCACACCAGTTAGAATGGCGATCATTAAAAAGTCAGGAAACAACAGGTGCTGGAGACGATGTGGAGAAATAGGAACACTTTTACATTGTTGGTGGGACTGTAAACTAGTTCAACCATTGTGGAAGTCAGTGTGGCGATTCCTCAGGGATCTAGAACTAGAAATACCATTTGACCCAGCCATTCCATTACTGGGTATATACCCAAAGGACTATAAATCATGCTGCTATAAAGACACATGCACACATATGTTTATGGCGGCACTATTCACAATAGCAAAGACTTGGAACCAACCCAAATGTCAAACAATGATAGACTGAATTAAGAAAATGTGGCACATATATACCATGGAATACTACGCAGCCATAAAAAATGATGAGTTCATGTCCTTTGTAGAGACATGGATGAAATTGGAAATCATCATTCTCAGTAAACTATCTCAAGAACAAAAAACCAAACACCACATCTTCTCACTCATAGGTGGGAATTGAACAATGAGAACACATGGACACAGGAAGGGGAACATCACACTCTGGGGACTGTTGTGGGGTGGGGGGAGGGGGGAGGGATAGCATTGGGAGATATACCTAATGCTAGATGACGAGTTAGTGAGTGCAGCACACCAGCATGGCACATGTATACATATGTAACTAACCTGCACATTGTGCACATGTACCCTAAAACTTAAAGTATAATAACAATAAATAAAATAAAAATAAATAAATAAATAAATAAAGACTTTCTTAGGAAGGAAATCTACAACCTTCACAAGGTTTTAATCTAATCCTTCACAGGGTTTTAAAGAGCCCTAGGTGGAAAGGCATTCAATGTTACCCTAGCCAGAAACGCTGTATGCTATACAACTAAGATCTATTTTGTTTATGCAGAGAAAAACTCTTTATCCAAAATCAAGAATTAAGGAGCTTTGAAATGCATTTTCATTGGTTGGTCTGGGTCCACTTCTCCTGACAGAAACTCATGCAGTTCCAAGAAAAATGAAATTAGGAGTTTCACAATCTACAATAATATGCATCATTGTATGACAGAATGAATTTAATGGAAAAGAATGAAATTGCTCCCAAGAGCCCCTGGAGATTTAGTTAAACAGCCAAACCCACTACTACTACTGAAGAGACTGGAAGCTTCACCTTGGAGAAGGAAAAGGGAAGAAGAAAAAAGAAAATAAGAAAAGAGTAACAGAACAAGAGGTAAAGAAAAGCTAAGATTGGCCGGGCATGGTGGCTCATGCCTGTAATCCCAGCACTTTGGGAGGTCGAGGCGTGAGGATCGCTCGGGCCCAGGAGTTGTTGGCCAGCCTGGGCAACAACTCTATAGCGAAAGCCCATCTCTATAAATAAAAGTTTTTAAAAATGACAACAATGAAAGAAAAGCAAAGACTACAGAGTTGTGAAGCACCTACCATGAATTAATGAAGCCCCAAGATGATGGCCAACACCTGCCCCTGCTTTTCTCAACTGCTAGGATTGTTGGAAAAGTCCCCCAGTCAAGGGGTTGATTCTAGTAAATAATTCGGGAAGAAATATTTCAAAAAGAATTTGTCAATGGGATGCGCATTTTCCCTTTGAGTACAACCATTCAGAAATAGCACATTTGAACTCCAAGGTGAAAAAAGCAGGATTGTATCACAGAGTCTTTAGACATCTGCATTTCTGAAACTGTCATACACACTCTTTTCATACATGCCAAGTGAACAATTAAACTCTGTATTTTTATAAGGCATGTGTATATGTAAGTACACGTACGAAAAGAGACTTTGCAGACAGAAATGAATGATGGACTTTTAAGAATTAAATCAGATTCTCAAGAAAAATAGAAATAAAACAAAGCCAACAAAATTACAATATGACATTGACAAAAGAAATTAACAGCATTCATATCACTGATACTATTAAAGTTGTATCTTGAACAAACAACAAACAGGCAAACAAATTTGCATGTCCATAGTTCAATTATTTAGACAACTTATTTTATGGCAAAACCCAGAATTCATCAAAACTGGCATCTTTTAATGCTAATTCTAATTAGAACCAGCATTGCATTTTGTATGCTCTCCAATTATGCATGAGAAAAGTCAGCATAAGTGTCCTCTCTTATCATAATTATCTGTTTCTAATTTCAATTTTGGCTATGACTTTGCACTCAATGATGTAAATGTAACTGTTCCTGTCAGATGAAGATTAATTTGATTTAAGCCCTCTTTGTTCTAATTATATATTCTATTTCTGCTCACCATGCAAGTTCTTTCTATGCCACATCTGTATTTTATCACAACAATGGAGAATTTCTTTGGTATTTAAAAGGCAGCCATAAGATTTCTTTTTGGCACCATTATGACAATTTTCATTAAGCTTGTGCCAAAAAATTTAATATTTCAGCTGACTAATCTACAGATTAATGTAATTATTTGAATATTAAAGCATGAACTTTTCTGAAATGAAGTCTCTAAAAGTCATTGCTCTAATTACTCCCTTAGCTTCCAGGAAAACGTTATCGTTGTTAGTTTATTCCCTGGCCAAATTCATTTATTGGGTGACACCTTGCATGCTATGCTTCCGACTGGCACCAATATAGAAACAGTGGTAGAAATAAAAATCAGTTGAGATTCAAAGCTGTCCTTCTGGAGGTCCAGAACTGGAGCATCCTTGCATTCATCCTCAATTTATCTTACTAATTTTCTACTGTGCCACTTCATAAAAATAATCAGGTGGATTTCTATATTCCTCAATGTTGGCTGTTGTTCTTTTATGTTCCACCTACCTTTCTATTCTTTCTTTCATTTTTTCGTATTATCTCACATACGTATTAGTTATTTGTGGTGAGAACACTTACAATGTCTCTTAGCAATTTTCAAGTATACAACACATTGTTAATAACTAGAGTCACCATGCCATATCACCTACTTCTCTCTAAAAAAAAAAAAATCAGGTGGAAGATAAGAAATTACCCCTGCAGCAATCTCTTCCCATTCCTTCAAAGTAGAAAGTGTTTGGAATATAGCATCCCAAAACTAATACTGGTTCTAGGATGCAGAGATGAAAGCCAACCTGAGGGTTAATACTCGATTAACATGTTCTACACATATCTCAGAGACTAAGATTTTGATTTTGATTTGTACTCCCGTGGAAAAGCCCAGGAAGTAAAATATGGAGTATAATTAAATTCACTAAATACTTTATCAGTGCTCAACACAATGTCAAGTACTGCTGGATAAATTTTAGCAGAAAAGTATGGTCAAGTCTAGATACCTTTAACCTATAAAATGCATTGAGATTCTCAAAACTAAAAAAAGATTTTTGAAATCAATATTTGTTGTTTTGAGAAGGGACATGGTATATTTATTTTAAAATATACAGTAATTCAGCAAAGCAAACACAGAGTTCTAGAAGTTAGCTATTCAGAAAAAGTGTCGTCAGCCTGGGCTGTAAGATCAGTGACCTCGTGCCACATGCATTTTTATATTTTACATGTTCAATCCTGTTCTGTCACAAAATAGATGTCAGGCAGTTTGTGGATATAAACACAATACAATAATGTTTAAAACTGTAAGAAATATGGATGGTGAGATCAGGCCAAGATTAAGTAGCACAAGTACTTTCTTAGAGAGCCTGGATATTTAGTCCAAGTGGGTCACAAAGAGCAGTCAGTTCCCTAGCAGCCAGAGCACAGAGGGGCTCCTGAGAAGTTATAAGATGCATGGGGTACACGAAATGAGAATCAGTCAACTATCCTCAGCGATCTGAGGGAACTTGCTTTCCTGGATCTTCACAATGAGATGTTATATGCATGGCAGATCTAGCTTAAGCAGCATCATTTGGAATTGCAAAAATATGGAACCAGCTCAAATGGCCATGAATCAATGAATGCATAATGAAAATGTTATATACACACACACACACACACACACACACACATATACATATGTACACACATAATATATATATATCACTAAGCATATATATGTGTGCATGTGTATATATATATACCATAGAATACTACTCAGCCATAAAAAGGAACAAAATAATGGCATTCGCAGCTACCTGGATGGAATTGGAGACCATTATTCTAAGTGAAGTAACTCAGGAATGGAAAACTAAGCATCGTATGTTCTCTCTTATAAGTGGGAGCTAAGCTACGAGGATGCAAAGGCATAAGAATGATACAATGAACTCTGGGGACTCAGGGGAAAGGGTAGGAGAGGGTGAGGGATAAAAGACTACACATTGGGTACAGTGTACACTGCTCGGTGATGGGTGCACCAAAATCACAGAAATCACCACTAAAAAATTTATTCATGTAACCAAACACCACTTGTTCCCCCAAAACCTATTGAAATTTTAAAAACGTAAAAATAATCAACAGTTCTCCTAAAATATATATCTATCTATATCTATATCTATATCTATATCTATATCTATATCTATATCTATATCTATATACACACATACACACACACATATACATGCACATATATATAGTGAGGTTCATTATTGGCAGAGAATAGTGTTTGGAGCTTACAAAGTCTACACTTGCAGGGAACTATTGTAGCTCACTTTTTTAATAATATACTGATTCACTCTATCATCTGTCACCCATCAGCAAATCTCACTCTCACTAAGATCTACTATGCAACAGGCACTATGCTAGGCATTTGGGCAGCCACAACAGAAAAGACACACAGCTTACATTCCATGAGGATACAGAAGGTGTCTGTTGTGTTCACTGCTGTAGTACCAGCACCTGATATCATGCCTGACATAGAGTCAGGACTCTGTAAACATTCGTTGAATAAACAAATGAATGAGTTTGCAGTCTAAAGAGCTAATCAGCCATGGGGAGTTGACCCAGAAAATCAAGGTAGACTGGATTGCGAATGTTTTCAATTGGCAAAATAATGGGCCAAGTTTTTATGAAAAAAAAAAAAAAACAAAAAAAACTGGAGGACAGTTGAGTGATATGCCATCAAAATCATCTACCTCTTTAGTAATTGTTTGTAAATGACCTCCCCATATACACCCACAGGCCTAAGCGACAAGTACAGTGACTTTTCCCCCCAACTATTCTATCTGTAAAATGTTACATAATAGTTCTAAATAGTAGTTTAAAACAATAAAAAAAGAAAGAAAAATCTCTCAATGTTTCCAAATAGCCAGATATTTCCATTCTGGTCAAAGCTATACCTACCCATACTTTCGTCCAGCTATATTTTTGTACATTGAGGAAGTAAAGTGAAACACAGGATCAATGTTACCCTTGATCATAACCCTTGATTGTCACAACAAATTCATTAAATAGTAGAGATATAAAGTTCATTTTACATATAAGGAAACTGAGGTCAGAATACATAGGAATAGTGTTCTTAAATGTAAGACTGCTTTCTTCACACATTCTTTCTAGGGCCACATAAATAGATGAGGTAACATGGAAAGAGCCCAATGCAGAAGAGTTGCACTTAAATCTATTGGCAAATAGAGGTGTTTATGTTCAATATTTTTAGACTTGGCATTGAATGTCAGCTTAACACAGGAATATGTTAAAATCTTACCTAGTTATATTCTAAGGACATGACTTCATGTTTTAATAAAAGCTGTGTATACTATTTATTATATTGACAAACTATCCAACAATGCCTCACTTAAGGCACTTGTTCAAATAGATGAACAATACAAACTCTAGGCATGCACTTCTATACCTCAGCATACTTCACTGTTTTACACAACGGAAATTTCCAATTTATTTTCACTGATTTTGCTTCTCCTCAATATCACTAAAAACTTGCCCTTCCATTGTCTCATAACCCATTGAGTCAGTCCAGCTGTGAGCATGCAATTGGCACTACAATTCTTAAAAACCTCCTTCCCTGTGAATATTTGATGATGCCTGAAGGCCATCCTTCTTCCTGAGGAGCCACTGACAGAGACACTGTTGAAAGCTTGAGGAAATTTTTGTGAATTCTGTCAGAAAAGAAGAAAGAAAGGTAGTATTTCTTATTTGTCTTGTATACTGCTTTCTGTAACCAGGCAGGGATTGGAGTTCTTTTTAAGAAGGCCCATAGAAAACTCCAGTCTGGCTTTTTAAGCAGCTCCATTCAATGCTGCTTAAAGCTTTCAGGAGGTGTGTCACTGTTTCCATTCTAAATCCTGATTTGGGTGGGTTCAAAGCTTGGTTATTAAACCTGGCATAGTAACTGTTACCTTGGGCGTGAATTATTTTTCCAATCTGATGAAAATTCCAACTATGGTAAATTGGAACAAAGAAAATCACAAATGACTTAGTTTCAATGTTTTATTTTTAATTTTAAAACATTAATATTATGAAAAGAGTCAAAATGGCTTTTGGGCAGATGCATTTGTTAGAAAAGTGAAAAAGCTCTTTCAGGTGAATTGTCCACTCTCTACTCTGTCTACTGTGGCTCAAAGCAAGTATTAATTCACAATTGCTTTCACAATGTGCCTAAAAAGTTGATGGCATTACTGGATTTACTTGGTGGGACAATAATTTCTTATTCCAGGCTGAATGTAACTTACAATTCTCAGACACAGTTCAGGCATTGTCATAATCACAGTACATCGTGGAAGTGAAATGAAGCACAGGATAAATGCTGCTGAAGCTATTTTAATCTATTTATGATAGATCTAGGGAGAATCAGAGGCATTTCCATTAACAAAACTATTCCTAGGATAACATAATGATCCTTCTATCCTCAAAACATAATGAAAAATGTGTCCAGCCCCAATTTCTCTGACTGTGATTTAAAATCAACACCATGCTTGCACTGTGCATTCAGTGGTTACAATAATGTCAGCAGAGAGGACTATGTGAGAAAATGTCACTTTCAGAACCATTTTGCTTCTCTGAATTCACTGGGCCTTCATTGTCACACTGCATTCAACCTTTCTTATCTCAGTAATAATCCTTGAACTCATTCTACAATATTTCTTGGGAAATACAACTCTTCATTCTTTCTTGTTTGGGTATAAACATGTTTATTTCATAATTCAAAAGAAATCAGAACCCTGAATGTCATGCACATAGTTAAGTCTAGTACAAAAACCTAAGAGAAAGTAGAATGGTTTATAATTGTGTACATATTTTCTAGGATCATGTGAACTAAACGAGTGACTTTCCCACAGAAATGCAGCTTTCTGTAAAGATTCTCTCAAATTCCAAACCCAAAGTCGTGACATTTCCGGGATTTAAGTCCTATGTCTAGGCGACACAAAGCAAAATAGAATGACCAACTGTTCTCATCTGCCCAGGACTGCCGAGTTTAGCATCGAAAATTCAGGACTGTTGTTGGTACTCCTTAAAACATATTCTTGGCTGGGTGCAGTGGCTCATGCCTGTAATCCCAGCGGTTTGGGAGGCTGGGGTGGGTGGATCACCTGAGGTCAGGAGTTCAAGACCAGCCTGGCCAACATGGCGAAACCCAGTCTCTACTAAAAATACAAAAATTAGTCGGGCATTGTGGCGGACCCCTATAATCCCAGCTCAGTTGGGAATCTCAGGACAGTTGGGAAATATGTATCAATAGACTTAAAAATGTTCATACTCTCTGATCCAATCATTCCACTTCTAGGATTTTATCCTAAGGGAGAAAAGCTAAATATGCATGAAATGATTCATGCAAAATGCTGTTTATTGCAGCTCTATTTACAATACCAAAGAATGGAAATGTCTAAATGTTCAACAAAAGGGGAAATGTTAAATCAAAAATGTAATCACGTTCTATAATATTTATAGAAGGTCTTCCTTCAAGTTTTAAAAATTAATGATAAGTGAAAATGCTCAAAAAGGCATGACAGAAAACCACATACTCATTATGATTCTGTTTTGGGGAGATAAATAACCAGATAGAGACATAGATATCACCGAGCTATCTACAGTGGTTATTGCTTATTCATGAAATTATGGGTGATTTTCATTCTAGTTTTTATTCATTTCTGCAGTTTCCCAATGTTCCACAATCAACTTCTATCACTTTTATTTTAAAAAAGTTACAGGAAATGTCTGCCAAAGGGCCAACCTTAAAACTAAACAAGCAAAATCACAAAAACAGCTATCCAATATTTGAGAAACGTGTTTCTGTGTCTTAAGAATCATGTTGTTTCAAATAACCTGACATTTACGTTGACAGTTCTTCTCTCAAATTTTCCAAGCTAACATTTGGCCTCAGAAAATTGTTCTATACATTACTCTCAAGAGCTTCATACTCTGCTTCTTGCATTCTGCCCCTACTTACATGGTCTTTTGCTCAAATACAATACACAGGAATCAACCAGATTGCTCAGTGTGAGGCTTTGCCCTACATAGGATCATGCTAAATAATGCAAATATGTACTTTTTAATAACAGCAGGCCAAATGGAAAATGGATTACTCAGATAGTTATCAATGTCACCTGACTTCATCTAAATATATGAATTTACTCCGAATGAGCTCCGTGGTAGCATTTAGGACATTGCATGTTTTGACAAAATTACAGTTGTTATGAGAACGAACTTTTGTTTTTTGATATTGCTGGTTCTCTTCCCAGCTTATAAAGCAGAGAGATGCATGAGAGTTTAACCTTTTTGAATAATTATAAAGCATAAGAACAAAAATAAGAGTGAAAGATAGATTTTTAAAATGGTTTGAGGATTTTTAAGTCTTATTAAGTCAATGATTGTGCTCAATTTTGGCAAAGAAGAGTAAAGATTGGGGTTAGTTCTCATTTTACCAGAAATGAACAAGTCTTCCTGCTCCTCACTTTCTTTATAAAATAGTCCTTGCTGATCCAAAACACTTTTTAAAGATCTAATCTAGGTTATTTTTTATGCAGACTATTTTTAATTCTAATAACTCTCATTCACTGGGCACCTACTGAGAGCCAACTACCATGCTAGTAGCATGGTATAGTACTCTTTATAATTTTCTAATTAATATGTATATACGGTGCTTTAAATTGTATTTTTATATATATGGGTATACACACACATACAGTACACACATATACATAGACACACATATAGGCATATATGTATCTGATAACTTTTTTCTTGTTCCTCTAAAATCGCAGTCAGCAAACTTTCCCGCGAAAGACCAAATACTACATTTTCAGCTTTGTGGGCTATATGGTCTCTGTCACAACTATTCAACTCTACCCTTGCAGTGCAAAAGCAACTATGGACAATATGTAAATGAATGGGTATATTTGTGTGCTGACAGTACTTTATTTGTAAAAACAAGCATTTGTAATTTGTAAGCTCCTGGTCTATACCAAATGGAACTTTAATACAATCCTGGCCATGGCGGCCAGTACTATGTTATACCTTGAGGTAAGATTATTACAGAACTGAACATTTTCTAAATATATCAGAATGAATTTAAATTGAATATGATTTTAAAATTCACCCTCCTCATATTATGTTCCCCACCTGACCCTTTTTTTGGACTCCATGTGCTCATGTTATGTTGTTGTTCTCTGTCATTTATGAACTCCCACCCTGACCAGGGGTCAACAGGTCAAATGTAATGACTTGAGAAATCAAAAGTTCTACTTTTATTCACTTACTACATTTATGTGTCTCAACTTCTTATATTCTAGTTGCTAACTTGCAAGCATGCACTTTGTGCTTAAGCTGCCAGATGAGCCCACAAAATATTCAGTCAGCACCATGTATATCTAATCATCCAGAAAGTGAGGAAGCTTGCTGCAAACATCTGTTTCATATATTTTATTTTTAAAATTCAAAACTATACCTTCATTCATCATGCTTGGGCAGGTTTTTATGTGAGTTAGACATGGTGAATGAATGAAGATTCAAATGTACTACTACTGAGATGTCAGAGGGAAATAAGTCAATTCTTGAATTGTCTTCTTTTTAATTTCAAATAAATAGGTTGATTATTTGCAGATTATAAAGGACACAAATCACCACTATCAAATGAAATGTTCACATTCCAAAATCATAAAGTTCAGAATTCTCATAATTCACCAGCAAAATGGAAAGCACAGTTAAGTCTTTCATATGAGATCATTCCCAGTTCAAGGTACACAGCACAAGGAGAGAAGCTCACTGTATTAATTTGCTAACTGTTCTTACCTCCCACCAATCTTAGCCAGTGCCATTCTTACACCAAGCCAGCTCTATATAAATGTTAGCACATATACAGCATAGCCAATTTTTGTGCTAAGCACTTCACATGGTTTATTTCATGTGATCCTAAAGAACCCTCTAAGGTAGGCACTATTATTGTTCCCATTTTGCAGATAATGGAAGTGAGACTCAGGGCAGTTAAATATCTTCCTTACAGCTAGAAAGAGACAGTTCCTGAATGTGAATGCAGGCTGTTATATTCTAAAGCCTATTTTATATGAATCCCCTATCCTACATTGCTCCACAATGATGTGGGCCCAGCCTCTTTTAATAGTTTCCTGGCTCAGGTCCAGTCCATCAAGCTTGTAAACAATCTCTAATTATAAACATTAAAACTAGCCAGTGTTTCAACTTCAGTTGTTCTGCCCCACTAATTTTCCTTGAAGGAGCAAAGGGCTCAGATGACCAACAGCATATTTGTTTCAGGGAAGATATTTGGGTGTTCCAAGCAAAATTTATGAAACATCTCATATGATGGCTCAGTAAACAGAAGCAGAAAGATGGATGAATGGATAGATAGATAGATAGATGGATAGATAGATAGATAGATAACAGATAATCACTGGATATTTTACCGTATGATAATTTAAATAATGTTTGAGTATTTTTGATTTTCTAATTAGAAATTCTGTATAATTCCTTTGTCTGAAGAATAAGATACTGTCACTCTAATGCTGTCATTTCACTTCAGAGTATCTGGACATATGCAGTGACCTCCACCTTTTCTTATTTTTCTGTTAGAATTTGATCCATACAGGCAAAAACCTAACAGCATGTGATTCTAACTTGCTGCAGAACCTGTCGCCCCCGCATCACTTTGTGATTTAGTGTAACCTGAACAGGGACTGCTTTGCTATTTCGCTGAGGAGCAAATACAACATGACTCAGAGCTAGGTCAGACTTAAGGCCCTGATTAAGGCAAATTGGAAAAAAAAGGGAAACGTTTTTCTGTAACTCAATATCATAATTAAGCACAGACAAAGCATTGAACTGTCTCAGCGTCACGATGATTTGAAAACAAAAGTGACAAACGCAGCTTCAGTCATAATCAAGATAAGGCTAAATACATAATATGGAAGGAAGTGTTTGAACATGGGAGTTTCTGGTATAAGTGCAAGTAAAATGATAACCTGATGCCAAGATGAAAAGCAATCAGGAAGTTTCAAATATTAATCTATCTCTTTGACTCCTACACTCGCTAGGACAGTTACAAAACGTAATCACCACTACAATCAACATGAAAAGCCCATCTATGAGTGCATGAACTCAATCAGCATGTTGATGCCTTCATTCAACTTATTCAGAATCCTTAAAGATGTTATAAGAAAGAGTCCTGTTATTTATTTCATTGTAATCCTTTGTATATTTATCTTAGTCTTCATAATAGATTATGAGCTTCCGGAGGGCAGGGGTTACGTGTATTATTCCTCTTGTGTTCATTAATAGTACAGTTGAATTGAACAGTCTCTCAACAAGAAAGAAGGGGAACACCTCTAATCACAAGTCACCACTTTTCAGCACTTTATACATCCCCTTGTAACAATGGTTAATTGTTCCTTCAACAATGTATAATCAACATCCAAACATTGAATGGATTCTGTAACAGGACTCTATCCTCCTGGTGTAGGGAAAAGGAATAGTGGGAGGGGCCACACAGGAAGAAGAGGTGAAAGGTGACTCGTTCCATTAGTTGAGATTAAGAAAGGTCAGATGTTTGGATCCCTAGAAGAAGCCCATAGATAGCTTCTGGATCCTCAAAGCAAATAAATTTCCTGCCCTCTTCATGCCTTCCTGATGGTCTTTGCTACAGGGAAATGTATTGACGGGAAGAAAACAGTTATCAGCTCCTGTTTCCCAGAGAAAAAAAAAAAGACTTTAAAAATACATGGAAAACCAAATCAATCCTCCAAAGTTTCTTAGGATTCTAAGAAGCCTAACACAATTATTGGTACTTACTGTTGAATTAATGCTTGTTAGAGCTTGCTTATTAGATTAGTAGAGATAAAAAGTGTTACATAGCATGGTTACTTGTGTTTATTGCATATTGTATGTGGCATAATGGCATCTATTGTATAATCAATGTGTTTTGTATGTTAGTGCTCTTCTAATAGGATTTGGAAAATAGTTTTAGTAGGTTCAGTGATTTGGAATCTTATCATTATGCCTTCCTCTTTTGTGGTCTACTTTTGATCATAGCCATGATTGATTGGATGGGAAGCTCTTGATCAAACCCCCACTTACCGCCTTGCTCCCTCAAGTGCAAAAGAATTTGCCTAAATATTGGGAGGCTCTGGAGTTTGTATTCTGCACCCCTTAGCTAGACATACGTAGTAAGATTGAGAGCCAATTATGTATTCAGAAGGAATGGGAGAGATGTCTGAAAGGCTAAGCAACAGGCCAGGTAGTAGTGGCTTTCATGGAATGTAGAACTAAACTGAAGGAACACAGACTCCATGGCCTATTTTTGTCAGTGGTCTACGGAAAACTTTTCAGTTCAGGACATTGGATAGAGTCTTAGCATCAACAACATATCCCAGTCACAATTAACAGTGACAAGCTGTGCCTTCTGCCACTCGGTAAAGTGCAGGATACACATCATAGCTACAGGAGATTAAAACAGAGACATCACTGTCTTCCCCCAAAAGATTCAATATTAATGTTTTACAAACCGAAGTTATCAGAAAAGCTATTACATGAAAAATGTGTCAGAATGGATTTAATGAGATAAATGAAAATGTGCCAAAGCATGTAAGACCAGATGCATATGTTATGGAATCAGCTGTCCCATATTATCAGGAGGTTGCCTCATAAGTCCATTTATGATACTGCCTCAAGAGTTTCCTCCAGGGGTATATAATTGCACTTAAAATTTACTCCACAGCTTATAATTTTCTCAGCAAAAATACAAATTAAAAAATAGCTGCAGAACTATCAGAGCAGTTACAATTCATGGATTCTTTTGAAGAATTTAAACTAGTATTATCGATACCCAGAGGCAGCTATTTTTGTAAAACAAGAAATAAAGAACATCTTTCATGACTTCCAGAAAAAAAGCAGATTATGCATACTATAAAAATGTGGAGTTGAGTGATTCTGGTATGGTTTCATTTCATTTAATCCTATTTCCTCCCCCACAGACAAACAGCTATATCATCACAACATCCCCAAGGTCTTAAAGCTTAAAAAGAAGTGAGCCTTACAAATGGCTGCTCAAGTTCTCCCTACCTCACCCTCCATATTTATGCAAAGGGGCATGATGTGTCCTGGGAAGGGAGGAATATAAGATGCAACATGACTCTGGGAGAAAAGATTGAGTTTTAATGTTGCGAAAGTGTACAGTTTTAAGAAACGTAGCTGATGTCTAAGAACCCTTTGCTCAATGAAGAAATCATTGAGAAGTTCCTGGCAGCATGTCAAATATTGCATTTAAGAAGACAATTAAAATAGTATAACGAAAAAGCTATAATTAGAAACATTATGTAAGTAACATACTATTTTTCTTCCATGAAGTTAAAATAAAAACACGAATTTCTGCCAGCTTTCATTAGGGGTCTTCATTGAGGAGATGGTTTCTGCTGCCACAAAGGTTAAATTAAAAAACAGCAAATGTCCCCAAAGTGATATGTTCTTACATCACTACTTAAATTTTCACACAACATAAATAAATCAGGGACGTGCTGTGGCTCATTCAATACTAATGTGAACATGACATTCTCTCACTTGAAATTCATTTTTTAAAAAATTGGGATGCTATTCAGGGCTAGGACTAGATGGACAAACTCCATAGTTGGGATTATTAACAAGTTGTTTGATTCCCCAGTGGTTTGACTAAATTGCCCACTTCTCCTCCCTTGTCTTCCTTCCTTCTGCAGACATTAAGAGAGCTCATCCTGGGTTCAGGACATCCTGGTAAGTACTGGATACAAAGGTAGGTGAAAAGCCCAGCAGCAGATAAAAGACAATGACTAACAAAGTTCATATTATAACTTGTTTGCTCTGTTGTCAAAGGTAGAGTCGATTATTAGCAGGGAAAATAGGATGGTATTCCTGGCAGTGGGAATAGTACATGTACTATAGTCTGAATGTTTACATTCCCCCAAATTCATATGTTGAAATCCTCACCCTCAATACTATGGTATTAGAAGATGTTGCCCTTGGGAGGTGATTAGGTCATGAGGGCTCCTCCTTCATGAATGGGATTGGTACCCCGATAAAAGAGGCTTCAGAGAGCTGCCTTGCTTTTCTGCATTTTCTGCCACATGAGGATTGCCGCAAGAAGATACTAAGAATGTAAGAGGACATCACTAGACATCAAATCTGCTGGCACTGTGATCTGGGACTTCTCAGCCTCTGGAACTGTGAGAAATAAATTCCTAATGTTTATAAGCCTTCTAGTTTACGGTACTTTGTTACAGCAACCCCAGTTGAAATAAGCAACATGCACGGAGAGTGAACAAATAAATCATGTCAGAGAAAGCAGGCAAATTAACTAGGCAGAATCCATGAGGCCTAGTTAAGAAATGGTGATGGCTGTCAATACCACCATTTTTTAAGCACCTGCTATTTGGCTACCCAGGACAAGATGGGCTTTCTAATCAGAAACTCCTCATGTCCACTGACATGCCCACACAATCACAATAGGCAGATTTCTCCAGAGAACAAGCCCTGTCTACTAGAGGTTGCTTAGCACACTCTTATCCTGTAATGTGCTTTCTCCTACAGAAAGGCCAGTCTGGCCATATGTTCTCTGTCATGGTGAGTAGGGCATCATAAGATTGTGCATAACTGTTTACAAATCTGGAAATCCTGAATGCTCTAGAAGTACCACAGGCCCCTCATTCCCAAAGCAACTCCCTAATTTAGAAAACACAACTATTGCATAGAGGGAATAATCTAGCTCTCACATACATCATAATGAAGGTAATGAACTAGCTAGAGAACTTTGTTGTTGGTTTTTACCCTGTCCACAGCAGTCCACATCTAGCATTTCAAACTGGCTACAAAAGTAAACAAACTAAGACAGAAACTTCACCAAAAATGTTGGTGATACTAGCAATTCTCTGGAGAAACTGGCTATTTCCTTGAAATATTCAAAAATGTTGTTAGCACAGAATTATTACTTATGGGATTTAAACAGAGTATCTTTATGTGGTTTCAATTATAGTCAGCAAACACTGGAGAATTTGGAAATAAGTATAAATTGTTATACTCAGCTCACAGAATGAAAATAAACCACTCTAAATGCTTGTTATCAAAAGAGAAGACAAGAATATACCTTTTGATTGAGGCAGAATGATATATGGATATCTACAGCTTCAAGTTGCTCATGGTCTCTCACGGAGACAAGATATGGTCATTAAGAATGACAATGCAAGGCAAGTTGTGCCATGTGACCCAAAAGTGGATGCTAGTAACAAGAACAAGAGTTACCATTTGCTGACTGCTTATTATGTGCAAGCCACTGTACTCAGTTCTCCAGTTTCACCATCTCATTTTTTTAATCTTTGCAAGAACTATTTAACCCTATAAATATTACACTTCATTTAACACTATGAAAAACTATTATTATTCCCAGTTTACAAATGAAGAGACATAGAAATGTTCATTGACTTTTCCAGGGTTGCATAGGATCCAGATTTAAATCCAAATCTGACACAAGTAGAGCATGGCTAGAAGTGTGAGACAGCAGTCTGGGAGAGATGGCACAGTAAGAAATGACTGGATAAGAGAATGACTACATCTGATTACTGAAAAGGCTCAAAGTTAAAGTACTGAAATGATACCTCATGCTGAGGGATGGAAGGGAAAAACAGCAAATCACAGACAGACAGGCGGGATGAGAGCCAAGAAAATACAATGTCAAGAGTCTTCAAAAGAAGGATGGGAAAATGTCAAATGCTATTCCCCCCAGAAAATAAAACCAACAAAGATGAGGTCCCAGAAAAGACGACTGCATAGGAGTCTCTGAATAAATGTTAAGGGTGCAGGCGGCTGGGCGCAGTGGCTCCGCCTGTAATCCAAGCACTTTGGGAGGCCGAGGCAGGCAAATCACCTGAGGTCAGGAGTTCGAGACCAGCCTGGCCAACATGGTGAAATGCCGTCTCTACTAAAAATACAAAAAAATTAGTCAGGTGTGATGGCGGGCACCTGTAATCCCAGCTACTCGGGAGGCTGAGGCAGGAGAATCACTTGAACCCGGGGAACGGAGGTTGCAGTGAGCCGAGACTTCACCATTGCACTCCAGCCTGGGCAACAAGAGTGAAACTCTGTCTTAAAAATAAATAAATAAATAAATAAATAAATAAATAAAGGGTGCAGGCCCTCAGCATCATGGTGGAGAAAGTGCTCACGGTGTAAGGTGAGGAGGAGGCAGTGGGTGAAGGGTAGAAATGGAAATACTTTTTGCTCAAATGTCTCACCAATGTCTTAATTGTGTTCTGGATTACTTACCATTCCTGAGCCTCAGTTTCATCATCTGTAAAAGATGCTTAATGCCAACTACCTTGCAAGTGCTGTGAAGATTTGACGGAGAGAAGCATGCTACATTATGGTGCAGCACGTAGGGTCTGGGGTCAATCCAAGTGGGGCTGCAATGCCTGCTGGGCCACTTCTGACCATATGGCCTTGGAATATTCCTCAGGCGCTACAGGACTCACCACAAGCTGCTGTTAACCATCAATATCAAGTAACCAGCCTGATCCAAATGAGGCACTCAATATATAGCAGATGTAGGTATTATTATTATTAATGCAATTTAGAATTTGTCAATTAAAATAACTTTACTCTAAAAGTGGTAAAGAAAATATGCAATGGAACAGACAAGCTGGGAATGCTGGCATGCACCTGAAGTCCCAGCTACTTGGAAGGCTGAAGTGGGAGGATCTGTTGAGCCCGGGAGTCCGATGCTATAGTGAGCTATGATCACGTCATTGCACTCCAGCCTGGGTGATGGAGCTAGACTCTGTTTCTAAACTTAAAAAAAAAAAAAAAAGACTATTTAGGAAGGCAACGTAAATTTCACTAGTTTAAATAATAATTCTCAATCAGCAAAATGATGATATTGTGTGTATTCAAACATGGAAAGCCAACATAGAAGCTATTCTGTTTAGGGCAACAGAGAAACTAATATGTATTTGTAACTAAACTATGTACTGGGGTTTCCCCTTTTTAAATTCTGTGAAGCACAGCTTTTACAGTTCCTCCAAAAATTAGAATAAAAATGGGAGAAAATTTTCCCAAGCCTAAAGGATATTATTCATGGTAATGAATCATGAAATTAATGAGCTGTCTACTAAAGATCTACCATTAAAAATGTATGTGAGAAAACCATTCTATGCAAACTCCATTCCCTCAATCTGCAGACGCTATCCTGGGAGTTAATTCAGTACTTAACAAAAGTTCCATTAACTCTTGCAAACCAACCTCATCTCAGTCAGCTGTGAAAGATGAATCTGTTCCATCCCCGTCCCCACTATGGCCTGCAAAAGGTTAAGCACTTTTTCAGGAATGCCAACCATTTTTCCCAAATAGGGTCTCAAGTGCTTACATATGCTGGCCAGGGTGCTCTCTGAGCCCCCCAGTCAAGGTAGCCCATCTTCCCTCCACAGGGCACAATACCCATCCTCTGCAAAGGATGGATAAGGACCCATTATTAGTACCACACTGACTGCTTATATTGGAAAATGAGGAAATGCTAATGAAATTGCTTTTATGGGCTGACACTCATGGATGGCAGAAAGGGACATTAGAGAATGAGTCCGGTATTTGCTCTTCGGGAGTATTTAAGCTCCCAGCCCAAGCTCACTGGCAAAATGCACACGTGGGTACACACACTAACACACTCATGGCTGCACGCTGTCTGTAAAGGTCACTGAGTACTTGTTAACCTTGAAGGGGAAAGAAAAACCTCAGTATTTTCCCCAACAATACTCCAAGCCTCTTGTAAATCATATTCATATTCATACACTTAAGCATTAATTTACATACTTAATTTCTGACAGGCTGACAAACACAGCCCTTCTACCCTCTCAGTGTAAAGTGAGAAGTCAATTGTTATTCAGTGTATCCGTTACAGTGGTAGTGCCGCTAACTGTATTTTATATAATGTGCTATCTGCAGAAAGGCAGATAAGAATTTGATTTAACATCCAATTAAAAGCCGTCATTGAAAAATTACTTCAAATAAGCCTTTTATTTTCTTTAATCAGTCTTCAATTCAAACCTTCCTTGGACCTACTGAACCAAGCATCAGGACTCATGAATTTTGATTAAAAAATTTGAGCCCATTTCTAACTTAAGCAGATTTTTTTTTGTTGCACTGTTTGATAGAAATTTAATAAATCTATGATTCCTAGCCAGCATCATTTATCATCTTTTTTTCCGCAAGACTGGCCTATTATACCTAGGCAGTAAATTATGAGGGAACCAGCAAACCAAAACTTTTCAGCCCGTTACTGAAGAAGAGATATAATCACTTGCATTGAACCATATAATTATAGTAGAATATGAAGCTCTGAAACATTAGGTCCTGTTTTGAATATGTAATGCCCAGCTTTTGAGAGTCTAAAAGATTTCGAGTTGATCTAATGTAGCTCAGTTTAGTATGATATTAAAATATTTGTTGTTAATGAAAATAACAGCAGGAAAAAAAATAAAGAGATGTGTAAACAACAAAACAGTCCCAGGCAGATTATTTGGAAAGTGACTCTGGGCTTTGAAAGACGAATCAAAAACCAAAAACTTTCAACTTGGTGCTTTTAAGTTAAATGTCTTATAATAAAGATTCAAATTGTGTTACTTCCATTTACTCTTTTAGCTACAATATTTTTTTTTGCGTGAGTGCTCAAGGTTGTACCTGTATCCTTCATAGAGTTTTAATGGGCATAATATATATTCTTTTGTTCATTCAAAAATTATTTGTCAAGCTCCTTCTAGGGGCCAGGCACCATGTTGAACTTTGAGATACAATGGTGAGCAATATAGGCAAGTCAGCCTAGCGCAAAAGATGATGTTTGAGCAGTGCTCTGAGAGGGGACATGAAGTCAGGATCAAGGGAAGCTTCCTTACAAAAGTGCTATTTAAGCTAGGTCTTGAAGGGTGAATAGGAGTTCATGAGGAGTCTTGGTTACTGCCAACAATAACCTTTATTGATATAAATGTCTCTGGGTGTGTGAGTCAGGAGAGCTTCATGTAGAAATCATGGGGTCATTGAAAATTATTTGTATTTTTCTTAAAGAAATAATCAAATATCTAATGCTTCTCTGTATCTAGGAACCCCGTCCCCAGTCCATCTACCTCTCTGCCACTATGTCAATGACTACACATGCTGAATTTCTTTCCAAAGTGGGCCAGATCATTTTGCATTTCCATGCTTTGGTACAATCTGTTTCTACCTCATTGGTATGTCAATCCCAACTAGTCTCTACCAGTGAATTGGCCCTCAGTCTGCCAGAAAGGAATTGACTAGAGAAAACTTGCCTGATGGCAGTAAGCCCCTCCTTGCATCATCCCTCTATTAGAAAGCTTGGTATCATCACTGCTTATTTACTTATCTGTCTCCTGCCCAGGATAGGAAGTTGCAGGAAACGTAGAATGAGTGAATGAATGAATGAATGGGAGAATTGACAAAATGTTCTTAGCTTCTTACTATGCTGACTTGTATGGTTGTGGTAATTCCTTTCTGGAAGAGAAAACAGTAGCCTAAATCCTTTAGGCAGGGGTTTAATGTGCTCCAACAGATAAATGGCTTTGATCCCTTTAGAAAAACCAACATTCTGATTGATACAATAGAAGTAAGAGGAGGGATTCTGCCTGGCTTTGCAACCTGTGTTTTCTTATTTGTAGCTTTCCAAAACACTCTAGTTACAAAGGAAGGCAAATTATGCTATGAAATATTCATTTTTAAAAGGCTTGAGAGAGAAAAGGTTAGGCTGTAGCTAGGAGAAAACTAAATAGCATCTTACAAACAGGGTCTGATATCCAAAGGAGCAAAATGGAATTTTCAGTGAAAAGCCTGTCAGGGTTTCAAGATTAATTAAGAATATATGTAAGTAGAAGACTATTGCTATTTGTCTGCCTATAGCACTATCACACATTACTAATAAAGTAGCTGTTTCAACTGATATTTCTTCTTTTTGCTTTGGCTACTATTTTTTAATTTATAAGCTACACTGTGCTTGCTTATGCAGGCGTTTTTCCCTTTCAATAATGCACTACGGGCTGGGCGCGGTGGCTCACAACTGTAATCCCAGCACTTAGGAAGGCTGAGGCGGGTGGATCACTTGAGGTCAGGAGTTCAAGACCAGCCTGGCCAACATGGCAAAACCCTGTCTCTACTAAAAATACATAAATTAGCCGGGCGTGGTGGCAGGCACCTGTAGTCCCAGCTACTCGGGAGGCTGAGGTGGGAGAATTGCTTGAACGCAGGAGGCAGAGGTTGCAGTGAACCGAGATCGCACCACTACACCCCAGCGTTGGCGACAGAGTCAGACTCTGTCTAAAAATAATAACAATAATAATAATAATAAAAATGCAGTATGATTGTCAGCTGATGCCTACTTGTTCTTTAGTGGACATGTAATTGTAATAGGCACTGCAGGCTTCAGTATTTAAAGAGACAAGAACAATAATCACATTCATATAAAGGCATAGGCACGGAAAACCTGGGTTAAGTTTCAAGATACTTTTAAAAACATTTGCCAAAATCTTTGTTTCATTTTTAAACCAGTGGACATTTCAAGTAAAATAGAGTCCATATGTTGCTGACCTATATTAAATTAAGTCATCAAAATATTGTTTTGCAAAAAGTCAAGAAGCACTTGGCTTCTAAAAATATAATTCCGGAGATAGAGTAGATGGGGGAAGGGGTTAATGGAAATTAGAAAATGTTTTCTACTTCCCCATCACTGCCTGTGGAGCTGCATTAGAGGGCTCATGTCTGGTCATCCATTTACTGAACAGCATACAATAGATGTACAACAATTTTAGAACTTGTAGGAATAAGGAGATCAGCTAATCCAACATCTTCATTTTAGAGATGAAACCACATTGAGGAAATGACTGGCTCTGAGTTATATGGCAATGAGAATTAAAGGAACATGGAAACCTAGGAGTGCTGACCACCTGTTAATTTACCAAAGGATATATACAGAAGGATATTTACAAGAGCAATAATCCACCAACACATCCACCTAACTCGGGAGCCAGGCACAAGACTCACTATTCCCTGTGCCATGGTAGAGACAACTTGAAAAATCCTAGCCTATCCTTTATTTCCTCAGCCAAAGTCCTACATATTAAGGGATCCTGAATCTTCATTGAATCCTTCCCTCACCAGTGAGGGGCACTCCTACTTTATAGATAAATCACAGAGAGAAAATCATGACAAGTCTAGGATTAAGAATGGAAGCAGGGTCTGCTTTAAAACCTAACAGCTTAGAGGCCTTTCTCTCCATCCGTCTGTGAAAAACATGAAACAGAACAAAAAATAAAAACAAAACAAAACTCACTAAAGTGACACCTCCCCATGACAATATGATCATGAGTATTAGAAGGCTCTTAGATCGCTGGCATGTGTCATCTTTCCATTTTGGACTGTCACCAATGATGGATGAATTCATTTAAGAAGGGGTGGCATGAACCAGGAGAAAGGCATTGGGAGCTTAAAATTATAATTCTGAAGACTATCTAATGACATGATGAAAAGCTCATATTGTATTACAAGGAGGAAAACAAGGCGCAAAACTCTGATTGCAATGATAACCTCAATTCTTGTCTTCTGTCTACCCATGCATGCATCTGAAAGGAAATAAACCAAAACATTAGTAGTTGATATTGCTGCGTGATGACATTATGCCTTAACTTGTTTTCTTCTTCACACGTTTACATACATGCAAGATTCTTAACTAAATTATCATAATAAAATAATACAATTTTATTACAAAAAATAGACAAGGACACTTGGTTATGTGCCATGTTTTATCCTCAGCCCTTCCACTCATTGGTTGTGTAATCCAAGGCAGATTGCTACTTAACCGTGCTGAGACTCAGGATCTCTATCTTCACAGGAGCCTCTACTTCACAGGCCTATTGTGAGCATTAAATGAGATGAGGTAGAAGGTATCAATTTGAAAAATATAAGGGTATTCTGCTTGGATTCTTAGCACCATTAATTACACCTTTCTTTCGGCATATAACGTAAAAAATTAGAGATATGATTCCTTGGGCTGTTTCTATACAGAAATCCTACCATGGTAGAAAATAGTAACATATGCACACAGTTACCCATTTCCTTCTATATATTTCATATACACATATTTACTTATGTTTCTGCCCCCTCTTTTAAAAGCCTTTCAAACAAATTCAGTCTGTATTTGGCAGTTTTCTCCATTCTTTGCAAGCATTCCACACTCCCATAATCAATTCAGAATGTATTAGTGATAGACGCCATTAAGGACTTCATTTTAAATCAAATAACTATTACACCCTACTCTGACCACCCAATGGAGTCCTTTTTAAAGACCTCATTAGAGCTCTTGCCTTTTCTATTCATGTAGTTCCTCAATGTTCTTTGTCACTGGGGGAGTAGACATGGTTGAGAAAATAAAGCATTCAGGGTCCTCCAGCAAAATGCAAGGAGCAGAAACAAGAAGAAAATAGGAAATAAATCAAGTGCACTCACCCACTCCCCATCACGATACACACACTCACAAACATACCCACCCATCAAACAAAATTTAAATATCATTACCGAATGTTCATTTTCATTGTTTAACAAGCCATGAAGAACAAAATATCTGTACATAATAAGAAAAATTATTTGTGTATGTGTATCTCCAGAAGCTCCTATGCTATATTTAAACACTTGCAGGCATTGCAATTTTCAGTAGTTATTTTTTAAATTAAAACTTTGATCTGTAAAATCTTCACTTTCATCAATTGAAGGACACAAAATTCTTTCCATTAGTCAGAATGGAATTATACCTGCTTGACAAATATTGTTACTCATTGAAAAACACCTCATTCATGCAACAGTTGATTGTATTAGAGCATTATAATGTAATACCATTTGTTTATCTCTGGTCCATGAGAAAATAGTATCACAAAAACTTTACAGACATACTGAACTGCAAGCTGAAAAGAAAATATTAGTTTTAAAGTCAGTTTTAGAGAGAGAAAGTGAGCCTGAACGTTTAGACAGAAGGAGCTGGCTAGAAATAGAGCTATAAACAGGTGAACAATACATGACTTACCTCTGTCAAGAAACACAAAATAGCAGCAAATCACAAAAAGAAGTAAAAAGGAAGAGGAGTAGAGACAAGTTTTACATAAACAAATAAAATATAAGCTGGAACAAAACCCAAATAAAATTTCTGAAGCCAAGAGAAGAAATTTGGAAAGCACATACAGACCTCTTGAGTGATTGCAGAAAGATGGACTGATAAGAGTTTATGAAGGAAATGGGAAGTCTAGGAATAGAGAACATAACCCACTGATATTTAGCAACCGGTCATCCTATTCCTGCGGGAAAATAATACTCATCTCACATTTTTTACAGCAAATATCGTTCTTAAATCCCTTACCTGCAAAGCACATGCAAGTTTTCCAACAATGTGGTAGAATTTTAGGGATTCTATTAGTCCCATTTTTTACTTTATAGACAGAAAAACAGAAGTTCAATGGATTCTGACTCTGATGCAGTAATTACTCCACTATAGCATGCTATATTCCTCAGCAAACTAAAACTGAAATGCTTACATTTATTTTAGAGCTTTTTATTGTACTTGAAACAGATAATGTCTAATACCTCCTACAAACTCATACATAATAGAATGATTAAACCAAAATCTTACTTTCTCCTTTCCTATTTTAACAAACATGGGTAGGTCCAAGTTTTGGGAGGACACAATCAAGTATAATTTTCATCCAGAAACTAGTAAGAGATTTCTTCGCAGAAATATGTTCAGTAAACATTGCTAAATTATGATTTGTATTTTAATATATAAAAGATTAATAGAAGTCTTGGCTTGAAGTGTATGGAGTTATCATCTTGATTGTAACTCATGGACACTACTTGAAACTTACTTGTGGGGATCATGGTGGGTGGGAGGCAGGACTAGATTGCAGCTCCAGACAGAGCAGCATGCAGAGGCTAGCATTGTGAATTTTAGCTCCAGATTGAATGCAAGAACAAACCAGCAATCCTGAGAGGACCCACAGACCCTCTGAAGGAAGGAGACTGCTCCTGCAGGACCCGGGAGACACCCCAAATACTGTGAGTGCCTCAACTGTGGAAGTAGGAAAGGGAAACCCTCCTCTCCTGAATACACACTCCCACAGGAAAAGCTGAAGGTCTGTTTCCAGGAGAAGTTTCCAACTTTACCTGCAGCTGAGTCAAGTTAGAGAGCCGAGCCAAGTGAAATACAGGGGTAGAGGAAGCAGCAGAAAGGTCCTGAGAGCTCGCTGGGTCCCCAAGCAGCCCATTCTTGCCTGACACCACAGGGATCCATTGAGAGATTGGCCAGAGGAGCAGGGTGTAAAACTCCATAGGGAGAAGGAATTCTTTAGCTGGACTTTGTAACAATTTGAATGGGGTGAGAAGCCTCCTGGCCAGAACCCAGGGGAGGGCGCCAATCCTGCAAGCAGACTTCACAGGCAGGGTGAAGAACTAAAAAGCCCTTTTCTTCAGCAGCTGAGAGGAGGAAAGCCTCGGGCAAGTTTTCAAGTCCGTCTCGCCCTTCCTCTGGAAACAGACTTGGGGCTGTTGGGGGAGGCACAGTGGGGGTGAGACTGACCATTCAGTTTGCGTGGGAGCTAGGTGAGGCCTGTGACTGCCAGCTTTCCCCCACTTCCCTGACTACCTGCAAGACTCAGCAGAGGCAGCCATAATACTCCTAGGTACATAACTCCAGTGACTTGGGAATCTCACCCCCATCCCCCACAGCAGTCACAGGAAGACCCACCCAAGGAGTCTGAGCTCAGACACACCTAGTCCCACCCCACCTGATGGTCCTTCTCTATCCACCCTGGTAGTGGAAGACAAAGGGCATTTAATCTTGGGAGTTCTAGGGCCCAGCCCACTACCAGTCCCTCTCTACAGCTGATGCTTTCTGTAAGGCACCACCCCCTGGCAGGAGGTCAACCAGCACAAAAACAGAGCATTAAATCACCAAAGCTAAGGGCCCTCACAGAGTCCATTGCACCCTCCATCACCTCTACCAGAACAGGCGCTGGTATCCACGGGTGAGAGACCCATAGACAGTTCACATCACAGGACTCTGTGCAGACAATCCCCAGTACCAGCCTGGAGCTGGGTAGATTCACTGGGTGACTAGAACCAGAAGAGAGACAACAATCACTGCAGTTTGGCTTACAGGAAGCCACATCCCCAGGAAAAAGAGGAGAGTACTACATCAAGGGAGCACCCCATGGGACAAAAGAATCTGAACAATAGCCTTCAGCCCTTAGACCTTCCCTCTGACAGAGCCTACCCAAATGAGAAGGAACCAGAAAACCAACCCTGGTAATGTGACAAAACAAGGATCTTCAACACCCCCAAATATCAAACTAGTTCACCAGCAGTGGATCCAAACCAATAATACGCACCTGATTTACCTGAAAAAGAATTCAGAAGGTTAGTTATTAAGCCAATCAGGGAAGGACCAAAGGCAAAGCCCAATGAAAGGAAATCCAAAAAATGATACAAGAAGTGAAGGGAGAAGTATTCAAGGAAATAGATAGCTTAAATAAAAAACAATAAAAAATTCAGGAAACTTTGGACACACTTTTAGAAATGTGAAATGCTCTGGAAAGTCTCAGCAATAGAATTGAACAAGTAGAAGAAAGAAATTCAGAGCTCAAAGACAAGGTCTTCAAATTAGCTCAATCCAACAAAGACAAAGAAAAAAAAATAAGAAAATACGAACAAAGCCTCCAAGAAGTCTGGGATTATGATAAATGACTGAACCTAAGAATAATCAGTGTTCCTCAGGAAGAAGACAATTCTAAAAGCTTGGAAAACATATTTGGGGGAATGACCGAGGAAAACTTCCCTGGCCTTGCTAGAGATCTAGACATGCATATACAAGAAGCACAAAGAACACCTAGGAAGTTCATCACAAAAAGATCCTCACCTAGGCACATTGTCATTGGGTTATCCAAAGTTAGGATGAAGGAAAAAATCTTAAGAGTGGTGAGACAGAAGCACCAGATAACCTATGAAGGCAAATCTATCAGATTAACAGTAGATTTCTCAGCAGAAACCCTACAAGCTAGAAGGGATTGGGGCGCTATCTTCAGCCTCCTCAAACAAAACAATTATCAGCCAAGAATTTTGTATCCAGTGAAAGTACACATCATATATGAAGGAAAGATACAGTCTTTTTCAGACAAACAAATGCTGAGAGAATTCGCCATTACCAAGCCACCACTACAAGAACTGCTAAAAGGAGATCTAAATCTTGAAACAAATTCTGGAAACACATCAAAACAGCACCTCTTTAAAGCATAAATTACACAGGACCTATAAAACGAAAATACAAGTTAAAAACCGAAAAGAAAAAACTAAAAAAAAGTACACAGGCAACAAGGAGCATGATGAATGCAACAGTACCTCACATTTCAATACTAACATTGAATGTAAATGGCCTAAATGCTCCACTTAAAAGATACAGAAACGCAGAATGGATAAGAAGTCACCAGCTGTCTGCTGCCTTCAGGAGACTCACCTAAGACATAAGGACCCACATAAACTTCAAGTAAAGGGGTGAAAAAAGGCATTTCATGCAAATGGACACCAAAAGCAAGCAGGGGGTAAAGCAGGGGGTAGCTATACTTAGAATCAGACAAAAGAAATTTTAAAGCAATGGCAGTTAAAAGAGACAGAGAGGGACATTATATAATGGTAAAAGGCCTTATCCAACAGGAAAATAACACAATCCTAAAAGTATATGCACCTAACACTGGAGGTCCCAAATTTATAAAATGATTACTAATAGACCTAAGAAATGAGATAGACAGCAACACAATAATAGTGGGGGACTTCAATACTCCACTGACAGCACTAGACAGGTCATCAAGACAGAAAGTCAACAAAGAAACAATGGATTTAAGCTATACCTTGGAACAAATGGACCTAACAGATACATACAGAACATTTCATCCAACAACTGTAGAATACGCATTCTATTCAACAGTGCATGGAAGTTTCAAGATTGACCAAGTGATAGGCCACAAAATGCGCCTCAATACATTTAAGAAAATTGAAATTATATCAAGTACTCTCTCAGACCATGGTGGAATAAAACTGGAAATCAACTCCAAAAGGAACCTTCAAATACATGCAAATACATGGAAATTAAATAACCTGCTCCTGAATGAGCATGGGGTCAAAAACGAAATCAAGATGGAAATTAACAAATTCTTTGAACTGAATGACAATAATGACACAACCTATCAAAACTTCTGGGATACAGCAAAGGTGGTGCCAAGAGGAAAGTTCATAGCCCTAAACACCTACATCAAAAAGTCTGAAAGAGCACAAACAGAAAATCTAAGGTCACACCTCAAGGAACTAGAGAAACAAGAACAAACCAAACCGAAACCCAGCAGGAGAAAGAAAATAACCAAGATCAGAGGAGAACTAAATGAAATTGAAACAAAAAAAAATTCAAAAGATAAATGAAACAAAGAGTTGGTTCTTTGAAAAGATAAATAAACTTGATAGACCATTAGCAAGATTAACCAAGAAAAGAAGAGAGAAAATCCAAATAACCTCACTTAGAAGTGAAACAGAAGATATTACAACTGACACCACTGAAATACAGAAGATCATTCAAGGCTACTATGAACACCTTTACACACATAAACTAGAAAACCTAGAAGAGATGGATAAATTCCTGGAACAATACAACCCTCCTAGCTTAAATCAGGAAGTATTAGATACTCTTAACAGACCAATAACAAGCAGTGAGATTGAAATGGTAATTTAAAAATTACCGACAAAAAAAAAGTCCAGGACCAGACGGATTCACAGCAGAATTCTACCAGACATTTAAAGAAGAATTGGTACCAATCATTTTGACACTATTCCACAAGATAGAGAAAGAAAGAACCCTCCCTAATTCATTCTATGAAGCCAGCAGCACCCTAATACTAAAACCAGGAAAGGACATAACCAAAAAGAAAACTACAGACCGATATCCTTGATGAATATAGATGCTAAAATCCTTAACAAAACACTAGCTAACCGAATCCGACAACATATTAAAAAGATAATCCACCATGATCTAGTGGGTTTCACACCACAGATGCAGGGATGGTTTAACATATGCAAATCGACTAATGTGACAAACCACATAAACAGAATTAAAAACAAAAATCACATGATCATCTCAATAGATGCAGAAAAAGCATTCAGCAAAACCCAACATCGCTTTATGATTAAAACTCTCAGCAAAATTGGTATACAAGGAACATACCTTAATGTAATAAAAGCCATCTATGACAAACCCACAGCCAACATAATACTGAATGGGGAAAAGTTGAAAGCATTCACTCTGAGAACTGGAACAAGACAAGGATGCCCACTCTCACCACTCCTCTTCAACATAGTACTGGAAGCCCTAGCCAGAGTAATCAGACAAGAGAAAGAAATAGAGTGCATCCAAATCGGTAAAGGGAAAGTCAAACTGTCAACTGTTTGCTGATGATATGATCATTTACTTTGAAAACCCTAAGGACTCCTCCAGAAAGCTCCTTGAACTGATAAAAGAATTCAACAAAGTTTCCAGATACAAGATTAATGTACACAAATCAGTAGCTCTGCTATACACCACAGCGACCAAGCAAAGAATCAAATCAAGAACTCAACCCCTTTTACAATAGCTGCAAAAATAAAATAAAATACTTAGGAATATACCTAACAAAGGAGAAAAAAACATCTACAAGGAAAACTACAAAACACTGTTGAAAGAAATCATAGATGACACAAACAAATGAAAACACATTCCATGCTTATGGATGGGTAGAATCAATATTATAAAAATGAGCATACTGCCGAAAGCAATCTACAAATTCAACACAATCTCCATTAAAATACCACCATCATGCTTCACAGAATTAGAAAAAAACAATTCTAAAATTCATATGGAACCAAAAAGGAGCCTGCACAGCCAACGCAAGACTAAGCAAAAAGAACAAATCTGGAGGCATCACACTACCTGATTTCAAGCTATATTATAAGGCCATAGTCACCAAAACAGTGTGGTACTGCTATAAAAATAGGCACAGAGACCAATGGAATAAAATAGAGAACCTAGAAATTAACCCAAATACTTACACCCAACTGATCTTCTACAGAGCAAACAAAATCACAAAGTGGGGAAAAGACACCCTTTTCAACAAATGGTGCTGGGATAATTAGCTAGCCATATGTAGGATAATGAAACTGGAGCCTCATCTGTCACGTTATACAAAAATCAACACAAGATGGATTAAGAACTTAAATCTAAGACCTGAAACTATAAAAATTCTAGAAGATAACATTGGAAAAACCCTTCTAGACATTAGCTTAGGCAAAGATTTAATGACCAAGAACCCAAAGCAAATGCAATAAAAACAAAGATAAATAGCTGGGACCTAATTAAACTAGAGAGCTTTTGCATGGCAAAAGGAACAGTCAGCAGAGTAAACAGACAACCCACAGAGTGGGAGAAAATCTTCACAATGTATACATCTAACAAAGGACTAATATCCAGAATCTACAACGAACTCAAACAAATCATTAAGAAAAAAAAAATCCCATCAAAAAATGGGCTAAGGACATGAATAGACAATTCTCAAAAGAAGATATACAAATGACCAACAAACATATGAAAAAAATGCTCAACATCACTAGTGATCAGGGAAATGCAAATCAAAAGCACAATGTGATACCACCTCACTCCTGCAAGAATGGCCATGATCAAAAAATCAAAAAACAGTAGATGTTGGCATGGATGCGGTGACCAGGGAACACTTCTACACTGCTGGTGGGAATATAAACTAGTACAGCCACTATGGAAAACAGTGTGGAGATTCCTTAAAGAACTAAAAGTAGAACTACCATTTGATCCAGCAATCCCACTACTGGGTATCTAACCAGAGGAAAACAGATCATTATAGGAAAAAGATACTCACACATGCATGTTAATAGCAGCACAATTTACAATTGCAAAATCATGGAACAAACCCAAATGCCCATCAATCAATGAGTAGATAAAGAAACTGTGGTATAGATATACAATTGAATACTATGCAGCCATAAAAAGGAATGAATTAACAGTATTTGCACTGATCTGGATGAGACTGGAGACTATTATTCTAAGTGAAGTAACTCAGGAATGGAAAAACAAAAATTGTATGTCCTCACTGATATGTGGGAGCTAAACTATGAGGACACAAAGGCATAAGAATGATACAATGGACTTTGGGGACTTGCGGGGAAGAGTGGGAGAGGGGTGAGGGATAAAAGACTACAAATAGGGTGCAGTGTATGCTGCTCGGGTAATGGGTGCACCAAAATCTCACAAATCACCTCTAAAAAACTTACACATGCAACCAAATACCACCTGTACCCCAATAACTTAAAGAAAAATAAAATAAAATAAATATTTAGGTACTCAAAAGAAACAGAAACTTATTTGTACAATTCACTTACTTTTACTATAAAGAAATCTCAATGAATTGCATTCATTTGTTTACATAAGCAGGAAAAAAGATGGAGGTACTAGAAAAACAAATTTTAATATTCTCATATGTACCAATATTTTACCTGTTTAAAATTGATAAACTATATGGTAGAACCACATTTTAGCCCAAGTGTTCCAACATAGTCTTCATGTGCCTTAATGAAATGCAAAACAAAACAAAACAAAAATTGCACATTGTTTAAATTCCTAAAAGCTAAACATAGGATTGAAAGAAAGAATAACTAAAGGTGGATATGTGCATAAATATACACAGACTCTCAAAGAGAACTGTGCATCAGAGAATCTGAGAAACTATTTGTTTGCACATTCTTGGATGAAAAATTATTTTCCTGGGTCTTTGGTCTTTCCAGCATCAAAGATAACATGCCATCTCTTGCTTTAAAGCCTGAGATACATGTAATTCCCAAGCAAGCCACTTGTGCATATCTGTCAAACCTCTGCAAAACTAAGGGTCTATTCTTATATGAATCGATGCCTAATAAGTCTGGGCGACCTAATTTATAGCTATAGGCACACAATGACATTTTCTTCAAGGTGAAGTTCTAGTGTTTTCACTTGCTTGCTGGGTGATTTTTGGAGAGAATAACAGTCTCCTTCTCTGGATCTAAATTTCTGCATCTGTCAGACATGCTAGATGATCTTTCAGTGTTCTTCCAGTTCTCACACCTGTGTCTCCGTACATACTCAAACCAGTTGAAGGTACACAAAAAATACAAATGCACAAAATTTATGAAAAAACATGTTTATAAAGAACCATTTAGTAGACATTGGGTTTCACTGCCTCTGTTATTTGGTGGAAGTGGTGAGGAAGGGGGACTCTTATTCATAAATATTGAGATAGACTTTTTAAGATTCCTAAAATGTTTTTAGTTAACATTTTCAAAATTGTGACACTGGTTAGCCTAAGACAAACAAGAGAATGACCCATCTTCAGTAGATATCATATACGTCATTTCCTGATTCAACAAAGGAAGATAATGTAGTAGTCAGTGTGGCGAATTGAATAAAGCATATGGTGGAATACTTGGGATGGTATCCTGGCTCCATGCTTTACTGTGTGGCTTTGAGAAAGTGGCTGTTCTCTCTGCAACACAGTAGGGATACAATACTAGCTTCATAGTATTGTTCATAGTATTGTTGGGAGGTACACATGAGATAATGTGCATAAAGGCCTAACAGAGTGCCAAGCACATAATATATGCCTATTAACTATTCCTTTCCTCTTCCATTTTTAATGGCTGGTCTCTCACTACTATGTTCATAGTCCTCGCCGGCTACTGCATCCAAACTCCTGAGCTGAAATCATACAATAGCTCAAGTACAGTAGCCAAACAAGTGCCTATTACAGGAAAGGAATCCATAGACAACAACTAGAGGCAAATAAAGTGCAGAGCAAGCACTTCATCACCCTCCCTGTGTGAGTCTAATGTGGCCTGGAAGGTCCCCACTGGGTGGACAAGAGGGCTGCAGCACATGTTCTGTCCCCAGGCTTCTGGTCCCTCACCACTATGTTTATATAAGGTGATGCCATGCAAGGATATTTAATAGTCTTGCTGTAAATGGCACTATTGTTGGAACCAAGGCCACTGGATGGAAATAGCTAGGTAGGTTTTGGTCTCCTTCTGTCAGATTATAGACCATACACTGCATAACTGGCTAGTTTTGTCTTTCCAAACAAACTAGCATTTGGTCAGGCCCACTGTCAAATTAAGACATTTTCCTGTGCTTGGTGGGACTTTCTGAAAGCCACAATTTCCAAGCATTAATTATATCCACTGGTGGGTTGTGCATCTATTGATATGTTAACTCAGTGGCAGCACTGTAAAGGAAAAAAAGTAAAACGTACAAGCACAAAAACACAAATCGTGGAGTTTCAGAAAGTATGGCTTTTGCTTGGATAAAATATGTATTTTTGCTCATCAGTAATATTTCAATTTTTTATTTTTCATAAAAATTACTTTATTGTCTCCTTTGTGTCAGGTGTCTTATCATAGGCAAGCCTACGGAGTTCCAACTTCCAGAGCACTAACACAGTTTCTCAGACAGAAAAAGGGTTCATTCCAATATTTATTAAGGAGATGAATGAATGAAAGGATGAATGAATGAATGAATGCACAAAAGAAGGAAAAGTATACTAGATTTAAAGGGATACAATGTGTGAGGGCAGAAAAATCCTACAGTACTTAGTACCTAAGATGACAGTACTGGAGATGTGGGTGTTGTGTCACAAATATTTTAATAAATAAATGAATGACAATTTCACCCATCCTTAATTAAATGTTCTTAACACATAACGCCAAGCAGGCAGACAATGTTGCATGAGTAGTCAAAATAACTAATTTTTATTACTTCATTCTCAGCAGCTCACTTACAAGGGTAAAACAGTGAACCCTACCTCCAGACAAAAATCTTGCCAATAAAATAATATTTATTATTATAATTATTTTAGGTTGAACACAGTTATTGATGGGAAGTTAATTGTATCTCTAAATCAGAGTCAGTAATAACCTCTTGACCAAAGATCAAATCATTTTGAAGCTGGTGCTATTTATATACAAGGAAAAGGAAGCCACAAACATGTCATTCAGTGTTGTTTGAATAAGAGAGTTGGCTGCTGAGTTATTGAATTATTTCTGCCTCTAGTGACAGGTAGTTAATCTGGACAATTATGGGCCTTTTGCTCATAAAGCATACCACATCCCAAAAAGAAACTTCCAAATAAGCAATCCTTTATATTTTTCAAAGAATGAGTGCATGGATCACCTCCTCTGGCCCTCTAAGCAATGCTGAGAGGCTGGTGAAGCAGGTACTAGGTACTCCCATTCTATACATAAGAAGCTAAACAAGATCAGAATACTGAAGTGACTTACCCCAAAATCACAGTAGTTTTTTTTTTTTTTCATCTGCTTGTATTTCTTTCTTTTTTTTTTTTTTTAATTATACTTTAAGTTTTAGGGTACATGTGCACATTGTGCAGGTTAGTTACATATGTATACATGTGCCATGCTGGTGCGCTGCACCCACTAACTCGTCATCTAGCATTAGGTATATCTCCCAATGCTACCCCTCCCCCCTCCCCCCACCCCACCACAGTCCCCAGAGTGTGATATTCCCCTTCCTGTGACCATGTGATCTCATTGTTCAATTCCCACCTATGAGTGAGAATATGCGGTGTTTGGTTTTTTTGTTCTTGCGATAGTTTACTGAGAATGATGGTTTCCAATTTCATCCATGTCCCTACAAAGGACGTGAACTCATCATTTTTTATGGCTGCATAGTATTCCATGGTGTATATGTGCCACATTTTCTTAATCCAGTCTATCATTGTTGGACATTTGGGTTGGTTCCAAGTCTTTGCTATTGTGAATAATGCCGCAGTAAACATATGTGTGCATGTGTCTTTATAGCAGCATGATTTATAGTCATTTGGGTATATACCCAGTAATGGGATGGCTGGGTCAAATGGTATTTCTAGTTCTAGATCCCTGAGGAATCGCCACACTGACTTCCACAATGGTTGAACTAGTTTACAGTCCCACCAACAGTGTAAAAGTGTTCCTATTTCTCCACATCCTCTCCAGCACCTGTTGTTTCCTGACTTTTTAATGATTGCCATTCTAACTGGTGTGAGATGGTATCTCATAGTGGTTTTGATTTGCATTTCTCTGATGGCCAGTGATGATGAGCATTTTTTCATGTATTTTTTGGCTGCATAAATGTCTTCTTTTGAGAAGTGTCTGTTCATGTCCTTCGCCCACTTTTTGATGGGGTTGTTTGTTTTTTTCTTGTAAATTTGTTTGAGTTCATTGTAGATTCTGGATATTAGCCCTTTGTCAGATGAGTAGGTGGCGAAAATTTTCTCCCATGTTGTAGGTTGCCTGTTCACTCTGAGGGTAGTTTCTTTTGCTGTGCTTAAAATGGCAGAATTTTCTCTTGAACAATGAGCCTTTTGACTCTGTATCCAGTGGTTTTTAAACTCTTCCTTCTAAAATTTTAGAGTTTTCTACCTTGTTCTAAAGTAAGTGCTTTGTCCGAAATGCTTCCTTTCTTCTGTTATTTCTGAGAAAAGGTAGGGGTTGCACTTTGAAGGAAAATGCAATTTCCCAGATGCTTGGGGATGGAGTATAAAAAGTGAACCTGTAGTCAGATATCAAGTGAGGGCCAGCCCCACACACTCACAGAGAAAATCTTCCCATTCCTATGAAAGCAACTCATTTAGATAAATCAAACGTTGCCACTTCAGTTTAGGTCCTTTGGGACTGGTGCTTTGCCAAGACCAGCTGGGAAAAGATACATACAGCCTGGCTTGCTACTGCTAAACTCTGAGGTGTGGACACGTGCAGCAGAACTCGTCTCTATAAATTGGTCTAAGACACTTGGCTAGGCATAGATAGAAATGAATTCTTTGGGATCTTTTTGGGGGTAGAGCAGCATCGGGGAGATTTAGGTCACTCAAGGAACTGGATGCCATACCTTGAAATGGTCTCACTGAAATGACTTGTCAGAAAGAGCTGATCTGAGACAGAGGCCTTTAAAGTCTTGCCCAGATTTATGTACACAATCTTCCTGGCTGCCAAACACCTCATCCTGGAATAACATGCTTCAACATCTAGGCTGTTAATAGCTGAAATGGAGCTTCTGTCTTCCACAGCTTGGCTTCCTGAGACCACACCACCATCAGAAAGCTGCACTGGCAATGGGGAGCTCAATTCTCACTTGCCTGAATTTCCTGGTGAACTAGTTTTAAGCCCCAGGAATGGTTTCACTTGTTTGCTTGTTAGTAGTAGAACTGACATGCAACATTGGCTTTGGGTGTTTTGTTTTGTAAGTATGGCTAATACTGGCCAACCAAGCCCAGATGTTCTGAAAAACATAGTTCGGATCATGTCAATGCATGTGCATCTCATGAATGTGCAGTTTTGTTTTGTGGAGTAGATGTTGGGGGAGGAGTAGGCTGACTTCCTGAAAGGAAATGTCATCTAAATCTTCCCCTAATTTTCTTAACACTCTACAATAATCTGAGGTCAGTCAACAAAGGCATTTTTTTTCTTAAAGTTTTCATCATGATTTAGAAAAATAACAAAACTTATTTCTGTCACTGGGTCCTTAGGTCATCAATAAAGGACACTGCTAAACTCTAAAACACCTCTGGACTTCAACTGTTACCTGCAGACAGACAGGCAAACTCATCATCTAGGAAATCTTTGGTGTTTGGAACGGCTTTGGAGCTGGTGGAAAGCAGCCTCCAATCTGCTGCAAAAATCCTAGAAAGGTTCTTAAGACAACTTTGGATATTACATTTATGTTATAAAATAAAATTTTTGAATTAAATCAGAGAGGATTTGCAAATTAAAGAGAGGCCATCAGGGATTATTGCTTAATCAAATGGAGTCACCCTTTTATCACTTCAAGTGTTTTAGTATTTGGGTGTGTTGACTTTTCAGAAGATCTTCAAGCACATTAGTAGAAGTATTAGAAATCTTATTAATGATTATTGCATGCCACAGATATGCTACCACTCACACAAATGCGTAGAACATTCCTATGAGGTAATTACCATTGGTAGCAAGAATTATCATCACTATTTTACAGCTGGTGAAAATGAAACCTAGAGATACTAAGCAATTTGTCCAAACTATACAGTGGCGGTGACATAGGCATAGCAAAGTGGAAAGTTGAGACAATTATCTGGCCAAGTCAAGCCAATAAAAAACAAGCAATTGAGAGTAAAGTGCCTCCTTCCCAACTCCCCGAATTAGCGAGATCACTCTCTGCATTGATTAAATTCACTGGATAATTGTTTTAATGCCCCTTTCAAACCCTTGTCGTCCCTTCCCTGAACTATTGTTATAGCTCCTAACTGGTCTGTTTCCCTGTCTCTAGTCTTGTCTATTCCCTGTCTCTCCAATTCATTTTCTACTCACCACCAGAATGAAAGCCTGGGTATGCCAGTTCCCTTTTCACAGGCCTAGACTCAACAGAGAGCAAATCCATTCTCCCTCTCACAAATCTAAACAGAAAAGAAAATAACGTCTGTAGTGTCACATTGAGACTTTCTGTCATCTGCTCCATCCAGCCTCATCTCCTTTGCTCTTCTCCCTTCCCGACCATGCCCCTTTATTCTTTGGTGTCTTTGTTATTATTCCTTCAATGAATGAAAAATGTCCTTTCTCTACATTCCACTAATCATTGCCATTTTCATCCTTGAAGACCTAGCTCAAATGGGACCTCTATTATCACGCTCTTCTTTGGTCCCTTAAGTCAGAATGTACACCAGGCTTTGTGTAAGTCCAAGATATCCCTTAAGCCTCTATTTCACACGTGCATAATTCTGTCTTGTTTACATTTCTGTTCTTGTCTCTCTTCTGATTCACCCCATGAAGCTGTAAATTCCTGGCAGGCAAAGACAATGTTTAATTCATTTTAGTGTTTCATACATATCTCAGTGGTTAGTGTGGAGCCCAGAACACAGGGAATACACAACTACGTGTGTAGACACAGGCAAAGATGCAGAGTGACACACAAACCCAAGTATACCCAGAATAACCGCAACCTTCCCAAGTAATTCAATCCTACTCCCTTCTAAAAGCTTAAAATTGCTCGATGAATAATGGTATGCATTTCTTCTGTCAGTCTTCATTCCTAAGCAGGGGGAACCTGTTAGTTATATAGTGAACTTTATAATATGTGCCCATTTTCAAATAACTGATTTACTCACCTAGTGGATATTTTTTGGCATTTATCAGATTTCCAGACCTGCATGTAACTAGGCATAGAGGTATATTGGAATAAGGTGCTTACAAGTTACTGTCAAAAAGCATTTCACGCCTGGATCTGCATTTGCAAGTACACTATTAAAATGTGCTTTAACATGACTGCAGCATTTTTAAACAGCTGGCATATTCATCGGAAAAAATAATTAGTTTTCAATAAAAGTTGCTTTTTATTACTCAGGAAAAGTCCTCTGGTGACTTTTAAGGATCTGCCAGGTGAAATTTCAAAATGAAAATAGAGTATCCTTGCTGGCTAGTAGCCAAGTAGAATGAAAGACAAACACACTAATTTGTGCCAAGTCCAAAACATGTTGCACCAAGGCAAAGTGGGTAAGTACCCACCTGGGTTTAATGTTACATAAACCCACCCATCGTCTGCTTCAGCTCTACAGAAAACTGTCCACTTGGGGCCTATGGCCTATGGATTGCACCAGTTTTATCCCCTCTCTTCTTGCTGGCAGGAAATGAAAATGAGTTCAGTAGACAGCAGAGATTTCTTTAACAAGAAGCCAGTCCCAGGGAAGGCTAAGGCTAAAGATTTGCTGTGAAACAGCCTACAACAAAGGAAAATGGACAGTAAACCCGATGACGCTGTGGCAGCAGCTCTTTTTGGAGTGAGAATTGCATGCCACGCCCAAGCTCAGCTAGTTATGTACAGTCAATTGATTAACTAGTTAGTGTCTCGGAATAGTGTTAAGTTGAGATTTGTGTCTTGCAACTTTTTCCCTGTTCTAATGGCTCTTCAAAAGCACTCATGTATTAACACCAAAGACATCAACACCATCAATTACAGAAAACATACAAAATACAGTATCTTTTTATCGGAACTCTCTTGATCTTGAATCAAAGAAGTGAGGAACATCTGCAACAGAAACATCAGCCTTGAGACACTATAAGGCTATAAAGAACACTAGCAAATTGTCAGCTAGGCTTACTCTAGTGCTGTACAATTTCCATGCTGAAGCAAGATGAGAGGCTGAAGGCTTAAAAGCTAGCTAGCCTTGTGGTATTAATAGTAGCTCAAAAGGTAGAGTTGGGAGTCAGAATATCTATCTTTAATTCTATACATTGCTACTCGTTTATTTAGAGTGATTTTCAACGTGTTCCAAACTCATTTTTTTTTTCACTTTTAAAGTGGCAATGAGAATGCCAACCTCAGAGGACAATTGTGAGAATCTATGAGACAGTGTTTTGCAAAGTGTAAAGCACTGTATCATCATTGACCTCCTTTTCACTCTCTCCATTTATCTTTATTTCCAAAAGTTCTAATGTATAAGCCAATTTCCCATTTAAGAGAGTGCAATTTAGCATTCATAGTCATTTGGAGCAGAAACTATCAATTCTGCAAAGTGATATGGTGGAAATACAACATGCACAACTGTGACATGCTTCCCAGATGCTGAGGGTCATTTTATAAGGCTATTTGTCTGCTGGTATAATTCGATTGTTAAATGAATCTTAAAATTTGATAAATATTTGTGTTTGAAGTTGAGAGCAAAATAGCTCAATTCCTATAGGACATATTTAATAAAATGAAAAAAAAAATTTGTCCATCTTAATTTAGAAGCTTTTAGCAGTTAGGTTATTCCAGTCAGATAATTCTAAAACAAAAAAAGCAGATTTCCATTTTATTATGCTTAAATAAAGCCAATGATTATAGGTCATTATTAATTTGAAATAAATAAATAAACATTTAAATCTGACTATAAAGCATTGCTTCCGCCTTTCAGAAAGCACAAGAAAAAGGATGCCTGCCACATCTTTTTTGGGTGGGAGGCCACACTGGGGGCTCTGTTAATCTGTACTGCCCAGGATGCCCTAACAATTGTTAAGTTGTGTGTCTGCATGGGGACCATGTGTGCCCTGGGGGATTGTGTTTCTTGTGTGTGCCCTGGCTATCTGGATACCACTTCAGGCTTGCAAGGTTTTTGGGTCAACTGCCAACACACTGCCAGAGCTGTGCTACACCTAAATCAATACCCCAGGCCAGATCAAAATGGTTCATACAAAAACTTAAGAAGGAAGCCACCTGGCTTTTTAACACAGACCTTTGTGATTGGTGGGATTTGTTTTAACTGGCTAAATCCATGACCCCTAAAAGACACGACTGAGATCAATACTGCAGGTTAGTCTCACCCTGCCAAATGGGGTCATACTGATAGTGATTTTGCTATAAAGATACCTTGGCCAAGGGACAAAAGGATGGTATGTGCAGAACAGAGTTTAAAGTGGCAGGCCTGAGACTGCTCTCCTTAGAAAGGCTTTTTTATAAGGTTGGTCTTCGGCTGAAGTCTGGGCACTTGACTGGTAAACAGTTCCCTATACCGATAAGAAATTTCCCCTCCGTGACAAGACTGTTTTGCCCACCTGGGGCCCTAAATTGGTTTTCCCTCTGGGAATCTGAAATTTTGGTAGTTGCTAGGCAGAGTGGGCCTGTGTGACCAGACCCCAGTAAAAACCTTGGACGCTAAGTCTCAAATGGATTTTCCTGGAAAGAAATATTGCACGTATGTGGCTGCATTTTTGTTGCTATGGTGAGAGCTTGCTGTGCGGCCCCTCATGGCAGGGATAGAGCATAGGAAGCCTGCACATGGATTCCTCAAGACTCTTCTTGATGTGTCTTTTCCTTTATTGATCTTGCTGTAATATTTATTCTTGTTGTGTCTCTCAGTCTTGAGTTTGACTGCATGTTAAGTTCCACAAGTCCTTCTAGCAAGTCAATGAATACTGGGTGGTCTTGGAAAACCCCTAAACAATCGCCACATGGAAATTACTGAGGAAAACTGGCCTATAGCCCTTCAACACTCTATTTTTTAAAAATATAAAGTTCTTTTAAAACTAAAAAATCATTCTGATTTGTTGCTAGTTCTTCAAGAAACTCTTGGCCATCTTGAAAAGCCAGGACTGCAAACTAAAGTGGCCAAGATATACTATCCATAATAATTTAAAGTATTACAAGTAAAATAATTTTGAGTCACTTAAGTTTTTATAATCAATTGTCTTTTGGAGAAAAAATCAATTAGAGATCACAGATGTCTCGACAAAGACAGAAAGAAATGTCGAAGTGCAGTCAATGACGATTTGTGTTGAGTAAGAGAACAGGAAAAGGGAGAAATGCACTGAAAGTTTATCAAAGACGGACATTATGTCAGAGAAGTAAAAGTGTTCTAGAGGCACCAGCCATATCTTAGTAAGCTAAGTTTTCTTAGGACCCAAACTCTAATCTCTGCTTGCCCACAAAGTTGGAGGAAGTGCCTTTTAAGAAACTGTGTTGTCTTGGGATTTTCTCAGAGGGCACTGGAGCCTGTTTGTGCTCCATGTTTTATTAAAGGAGGAAATGGTCTTTTATTAGAGTACCTGATCTTCCAGACCAAATCCTGGTAAGAGGATCCCAGAACCCACTCCACCTCCCAGGAAATCACACTGGATGCAGGACAACATCCAGGTTAAGAGAGTTCAGTTGATGTGGAGCAGAAGATTAGGCCATGCAGGAGTGACACTGCTCACAGGGTCCCTGTGGGGGTAGGGCTTTTGGGACTGACTTTTCCATTCCTCACACTGCCTCCGAAGGGTTCTCCAAGGACTGATGGAATTATTGATGGATATGGCTAGAGTGGCTTTCTTTAGGTGTGCTGTAAGAGTCAAATGCCACCCTATGGCTTGACAACTAGACTAGGCTGATGTCTCTTCTTGACTCAAACTGGGTACCAGCTGACCCTATATGCTTGCCTGCTTCACAAAAAAAACTACCCGTGTGCCTAGTATTATCTATCCATTATCTAGGACCAGAACCATAATATTCAGTGGTGACCTACTGGAAGCAAAACTTGGCTAACAGTAATAATAGTAAAAGTCTAAATGATGTATTAATTACTAACTCCGCTGTTGCTTCTGTCCTCCCTATTGCTATTCCACTACTACTAAAGCGCTTAGCGTTAGCTCCTTTATGCTCATTGCAACATAAATTGAACACCTTACTCTAACTATATGACATGAAAGTAATAGTATTCTTTTCACTTCTTGGTTGTACTCCCTTGTAAGATTTGGAGAATTGTGTTCAAATCTAGGTGGCATTACTCAGTAATTCTGTGGCCTTGGGCAAGCCATTCAACCTCTCTGTTACTCAGTGCCTTCATTTGTAAAATGGGATAGTAATATCTCTCAGGCAATTTTGTTAAAATGATTAAGGGCAAAGTAGGTAAAAGACCTGGTCTAATATTTTATTCATCATAAGTTCTCAATAAATGAATGTGACTGCAGATATTGTTGTTGATTTTATTATTTTTTATATTGTTACTCTTATAATGAGGATGCAATTTATGCAATTTATGCCAAGGTATCATTGTTGGATACCTCTAAAGTTTGAGTGCAGCCTACTCTCTCAAAGGATGAGCACAGTAGAGGGCCATTGGGTGTTAGACTCCAAACATGTACCTGAGTTCATTTGTTACCATGGCCTAAACACAAGGAGAACCCAGTTCTGAGGTCTGCCATAGGAGAGAGGCACAGCAATCTTCCTAGCAGAAACATCCTCCTCAAAAGATACAATAGATCATGCTTATGTGTACAAAATCCCATGGCCATCATGAGCCTTGGGGCTATTTTCATTTGCTTTTCTCCATGTTTCAGGTTAATTGACAGTCTTTTGTTTGCTAGGAACGGGATGGGAAGAAGTGGCCAACCTTGGTAGTGACTTGCTTCACCTCCTCAGGCATACGCTTGGCAATGAGCATGGCTGTATGATTAACATGAGTAACATTGTTCCTGTTTCCGCCCCATGTCCAATGCCCCCACCATCATCACCAAAAAAAAAAAAAAAGAAAAAAGAAAAAAAGAAAAAAAAAGGTTTTCAAACCTGAATACAATTTTGGTTACAGAACAATAAAGGACAGAAGGACAGGTGACAGGCCCAGCTGGAAGGCCTCTTTTTCATTTTCCTGTGGCCACAAATCAGACATCTTGGGCTCACAGCAGGACAGGCTCCACTGGCAGTAATTGGCACCATCTGTAGCTGTCAGAACACTGGCTGGCATTCCAGCATTTCATCTTTCCAGTCAAGGCATTCATCACTAGTCCAAAACTCAGCCAGCTGACACTGGAAGATTAACTTGCATTGATTTGCTTGGCTAAACTCACCTGAGCTTCAGTTGGTACCGAACGTTCCTGTTTAATAGCCAGCCTCATCTCAAGATGTTTACAAGGTGATTGTCTACTGAAGTTATTTTTTTTTTTATTCTCACTCCTCATCTTCTGCCTAATGTGCTCTCAATAATTCAACTTTGGGAAATGGTGACTTAAAATGGAGAAAAGTGAATGCTTCACATGATCCCTGCCAAATGCCAGGCCCGTGAGCTGTATAATTAGAAAGTTTGTCTCCGTATCTCTCAGTTGCATTAAATTTCTCCCTTATCAAAGTGTTTGTATGTGGTAGAAGAGATATTTTGATCTACATTTTTGCCAGAGGACGTTAGGGAATCAATCATCTCAGAGGTAACTCCCAGGCCATGAGGTTGGCTAGCCTGCTACCTTTCTACTGTCCAGCCCATGAACATTTAAATTGGCCTTCTGCCCTGGGCTAGGCCCAGCACTCAGCATGGGGGCTACAGAGAGACATGAGCCATAGGCCTTTGCAAGCCACACTTCTCATTGTGTGGTGGAGTGGAAAACCACGGTAATTAGGGACTGTGGTACACTGTGCTATATGACAAGGTAGAGGACTGACCACAGCCCTATACTCATGAAGCATGAGAAAAATGAGAACCTATCTCAGACTAGACACTAGATCAAGGAGGGCTTCCTGGAGAAGGTAATACTTGAGTGGTGAAGACTTGAGAAAGAGCTAGCAAGATGGTAAAGGGAGAGAAAGGAAGAGAACATTGCCCAGAGGACTGGGGTATACAAAGGTAGTGAGGCATGACACACATTGGGGCAGTTGAGATGCTACAGTGGTAGTTCATTGTAATGGCACTGCAGGATGGCTAAGAATTGAGGGAGTAGGCATATTAGGCATTTATGCTAAACTAAGGAGTTTGAATTTCATCATGTTAGTGTTGGACAATCATTGATGGAGTTTTTAGCAGAGTGTTGACATGTTCAGATATGCAATAGTATGGAGGACGAACTAGGGAGAAGGGACTGGAAACAGAAAAACAAGTTAGAAAGAAGTCATTGCCATGTTCCAAGCAGTAATGATGCAGGCACAGGCCAGCTTGACAGCCTACAGTGATTGATGAAAGAGGACATCTCACATGAAGATGAGAAGAGGTAGGAAATTACAAGGTCTCGCTGGTCGAGTTCTTGCGAGCCTGAGTGGAGGGAAGGGCCATTCTTTAAGAGGGGGAATAAGACAAAAAAAGAGCCAGTGCAACCCCAAATATCAGAAGGCGTGGATACGTGTCACTTAGCCTGTCTTCTCAGCAACTCTACCCACCATGCTCACTGGGAAATCCATACTCTGACAACACAGTGTTACTTGCTGAACAAAATCTTGTGGGTTTTTGTTGTTGTTGTTGTTGTTCCTGAACCAGAACTCACACAATTTCCCTCATTTAAAGCCCTCTTTCCTCTGCCCTTCTGACCAGTCCTTCCATATCAAGATCAGCACCTAGTATACTATAAGACCTTAACAGACACTTGCTGTTATGAGTTGAACTGCGTTCCCACCCTCAAAAGATGTGTTGAAATCCTAACCTCTGGTACCTGTGTATATGACCTTATTTTTGAACAGGGCCACTGCAGATTAATTTGTGAGGTTAAGATGAACAGTTACTAGAGTAGGGTGCACTCTAAATCCAATATGACTGATGTCCTTATGAGAAGAGGGAAATTTGGGCATCGACACACACCCATGCAGAGAAGAATATCATGTGACAATGGTGACAGACACTGAAGTGCTACGGCAACGCCCGGGGCTACCAAAATCTGGAAAATGTAAGGAAGTATCTTCCCCTAGGGGCTTCAAATGGACCATGGCCCTGCCATCACCGCAGTCTTCTAGTCTCCAGAACTATGAGACAATAAATGTTTGTTATTTAAGCCACCTGGTTTGTAGTACAATGTTACAGCAGCACTAGCAACCTGATACACTTACTAATTGAAATAGTCAAATAAAATCATGCCTCTACACTGCCCTCCACTGTTGGTCCTAGGCAGATGATGCCATCCTAACGAAGGGCTGACACAGACAACCTGTCTGATAGGATAATAGTGATAACTGCCCCTATTTATCCAATGTTCTATCTGCTAAGCACTAGATAAATATTATTTCATGTTATCCGCACAATGATTTTCAATGCATTTGTTTCATTTGTGACTCACAATGACACTATGAGGTAGAGACGATTATTATCCCCATTTCACATGTGAGGAAACTGAGGACCAGAGAAGGACTTTCCCCAGTGTTCCAAAGCAAATAAATGGTAGAGCCAGTGTTGGCCCACTCCAAATCATGTGCTCTTCACTGCCAGGTTCAAGTTTTCATTTATCCACACCTATTTTTTGTCAGGCCTGTCCAATTTTGTTCAGTGTCATGTTTCTTTCTGTGCATATATTTTCCTTTGCATTTTGGAATATCTCACTTTGATTGTAAAATACACACCCAAAAGAAAGTTGCCCTCCACCAAGTGGATTCTTTACACATAGACTTTAAGCCTATAATGTCAAGAGGCAGTTAGACAGACATGTTATAAACCCTGGAGGCTTTCAATCAACTAAACTACCTGAGACAAGGAAAATATTCCAGGGTGCAAGTTCAGGTAATATCTATATCTCATATCTCTATGGAGGACAAATATCTCTATGAACCCTCCATAGAAATATGAGATATGGATATAGAGATCTGTTTTATCCTTCTGAGTATATTTGAAAACACTTAGAAAAGAATGATTCTAGACCCATTTCAAAAATGCAACTCCTAGGACTTGCCTTGGAAAGCAAAGCAAGTGATAAATTGCAAGTGTCACTTAAATTGCCACCCTCTTACTTGACAATGTAAATAAAATGTTCTTCTGTGAATGAAGATGTAGGAGTCAGAATAGCATGACAAATATCTGTTTATATAGTTATTATCAAAATATTACTAACAAATATGCTTCCACCATCTTTTTGGGAGTAACTGATGGCAACATTAGTGTTTAATTTTGTACATGAGATAAAAAGCACTGAGGAATAGCACATGTGTTGCTCTTTCTATCACTATTATCATTGTTACTCATAATAAACATTTATGGAGCACCAACTATAAATACTCATAAGCCCAAAGGGGAAAAATGAAGATAGAATTGACAAGAGTTATAGGTAAAAGATTAAATATATATATCTATATATGAATATGGATATATGATTGATTGAAGGAAGGAAGGAAGAAAGGGGGAGGATGGGAATGAGGAAAGAAGAAAGGAAGAAAGGAAGGGAAGGAAGGAGAGAGGGAGGAAGACAATGTACATTTGCGCATGGTTTCTTTAAACATTCCCAGAAAACTAGACCTACATTTCTATAAGTGGTCCAGCCACAACTTCCCCCCACCAAAATTAAATAAGTAAATTTCCTTCAAAGCAGAACTCAGCAGCCACTTCAGCAAGGTGAATTACTGTAGTTGGAGTATATTATGCTCATAGATCTCACTGAGGAACCAAGCAAAAAGTAGGGGAGGAAAAAAAGTGAGAGTTGAAAAAAATTAGAGAAAGACACAAGAGAACACAGAGGGAAATAGAGTAGAGTTGGGGGAATGGAAGAGGCTGGGAGTGCAAATGGTGGCAATGGTCTAACTGATGTAAATGGGCAAAGTGAGTGGTTATCTTTAGCATTCTACATACCCATTGCCAAGCATCCCTCATTATAGGTCTGTATTTCTTAACATTCAGTGAGCACCTACTACATGCCAGGAGCTCTGCTGGGCCCCTCCATATGCTAAGTTTTGTTGTCATTGTTGCTGGTTAGAAAGCAACAAATCTAGCTGATAATAAAGAAGCTAATTCTGACTTCAAACTCAGCCCCATGTTGTTGGCCTGCACCATCCATTCTGGAACATGTGAGCACTTAAATAGCAGACAAATAGGCTGTTTTGTTATCGTTGTTTGTTTTGATCCCCACGACCACTTAGTAAGTTAGAGATAATTATCCCTATTTGGTGGATGAGAAAATGGACATTATCCTTTACTGAAGTCTCAGAATGACATTCAGTTTTCTTCTGTTCACTTTCTGATGTGAGAATCTCAGATCCAATCCATTATGCTCTGGTTGTCCTTAGTTCCAAAAGGGACAGTCAGTGAAGCATTCTGACTACCCTGAGGCCTTTAACTGGTGTTTGTCTCAGTTTCCTTACTTAGTGAGAAGGAAATCCATACAATTTTACCTCTAAGGAACTGTATTTAAATCAGTGCTTTGGATAGCTTTAAGCCAAAGGAAATACCTCACTGTGATCAGGACTCATTTGTAAAGAGAGAGAAAAGCTACTTGTTAAGCCTTTGGCTGATTGTAGACCTTCTACAGCCAACTCATATTGCCTACCTTCATCTTGAAGAAGGACGGAAATGCTTGGTGCCTCCTTTTGAACTTCATGGATCAAGAAAGAGGGGTGAAGCATATCTTACATCTGGGATAGATAGATGGGCCACTGCAACCTTCCTCTGGGTTGCCACAACCAAAACTCACCTTAATATCCCAGACTGCCCCAAAACTGTTGTGGAATCACCATGTTCTTTATTCTAGGTCACAATAAATAAGCTAATTATGACATCATCTCAATTTAAACTCTGTTTTGTTAGCTTCCTCCATCCATTCTTAGACACCTGAATACTCAAACTATCAAACAGTGTGCATGGTAAATCGTGGGACACTGTAAACCATTACCTCATGAGAATAATTCAAAATACAGTTGGTTTATTTATCCATTCACTCAACCTAGCCTAACTAACTATGCTCCTACTGTGTGTATAGAACACTGCTCAGTGCCAGGGATACAGAGATGAATAAAACAGGTTTCCCTTTTCTCAAGGGGCTCAGAGACTCCACATGTGTACTATCATAAAATAAAAAAAAATTATAAATATGCAAACACACATAGAAGGAGAGAGGTTTTAGGTTTTCTTGATAACCGCTTTTATGTTTGAAGACTAATAGTAGTACTTTCTATTTATGAAATTGTACTTTTCAAAGCAGTTATATACCTTTGATTCATATGAACTTCACGGCGACCCAGTTAGATAGGTAGGGATGATATCATTTCGAACTTGAAGATAAAGAACCTGCAGCTCTGAGGTTAGGTGTCTTGCCCAAGGTTGTACAAATTATAAATACAAGTGTTGGGCCCCAAATCCACGCTTCTAGTCCTAGGTCCATTGCCCTTCCCAGTTCACATCATTGCCTCGCTCAATTATTTATAAGTGTTTCTGAAAAGGAAATGATGACCCTATGCTCATTTTGTGGGGTCAGAGGAGACCTGAGAATGCAACAGTGGATGATTATCCATGATTATGTTTTCTTCAAAAGCATCTGAGAACAGAGGGACATGATCTCTCTCTAAATGAATTCACTTTTTCTTTTGCATGTCTGTTTTATTTAATTTATTCTCACATAGAGATTCACTGAAATAATATCCCTTTAAATTGTTGGGAACCTTAACCTTTCTTCACTGATGTTACAAAAGGTAAGTCCACACTCCTTTATATGAGATAAAGTGTTACTGAAAGATGCATTCTATGTTAAAAAA